>NC_000017.11:491111-642626 GCF_000001405.40 Homo sapiens
CCGAGGCCGATCCCCGCGCGCTGGCGGCACCGAGCGCCAAAGGCCCCCCAGCCCGGGGTCTGGCCCCCAGCGCGCTACAGGTGGACGCGGGGACCCGCTCGCGCCGGGGCCCTGGGGGCGCGTTGACCCCTCGCCCTGTCCCAGCGGGACCCGGGAGGCGCTAACAGCTTCCGAGCTCGCGGTCGGGGGACCCATCCCGCAGAGGCCTGGGGAGCCGCGCGAAGCCGGCGAGCAAACAGCTGGAAATTATTACCAGTTAATGCGCTCCGTGTGGCCGCAGCCGCCTGTTGGCCCCGGAAGGCGGGCCCTGGCGCTCCTGCCCGTCCCGGAGGAGAGGCCTGTCCTCGGGGGCTCCGCAGGCGCGGGTCACCCCTGGTGCTCAGCTGGACAGGCTGTGTGGCCACGCAGGACACGCGGGGCAGAGACCTTCTGCGGCTGGCGCAGGCTCGTGGACACGCTCAGCAGGGTGACCGCGGGCTGCGTCTAGGGCCACCGGCCGCCCGGTGGGGGCCACGGCTTCTCCCTCACCGGGGCTAACCGCTCTGCCCACCCCACCCCCAGGAGAATCCCTTCTGAAAAACAGACAGCACTTCTCCCCACCCCTTCGGTTTGACAGCGAAGCCTTATCCTGAGTGGGAACTCGTCTCCGTAGCTGCGGGGTGTAGGACTGGGCTGTTGCTCACGGGTCTCCGAGGTCAGCAGAAAGTGCAGAGTCCCCACGCCACCTGCAGCCCTCCCCGGGGGTTCTGATGGGTATTCAGCCGAGGGCCTGGAGCTGAAGCCTCACCCAGACCTACAGGACAGCTCAGGAGTCACACCCTGGACGTCCCTGGCTGAGACAGTGGCAGCCCAGTGCACATCCTTGTAAAGATAAAGGATATTTGTCCTGCTT
This sequence comes from Homo sapiens, assembly GCF_000001405.40. Taxonomy (NCBI): domain Eukaryota; kingdom Metazoa; phylum Chordata; class Mammalia; order Primates; family Hominidae; genus Homo; species Homo sapiens. Next base: position 492,004 of record NC_000017.11, read on the forward strand.
GGGCCAGACCTGTTAAACTCAGAAACTCAGAGCAGGTAGATCTTAGAGACCCGCTGGCCAAGTTCCGTCCTCTTACCTCCCTTAGCTGTCACTTTCATGTAAGGAAACAGAGAGGGATTTCACTTGCCCCAAGTCACACAGCTGATCCGAGACAGCTTGCTGAGAACAGAAAGTCGGCATCATCCCTCCACAGAAGGTAAAACCTGGCACGCGCCTGTGTGCTGGCAGGTGGTTCATTCATTCAGGGTCTGCGGGAAGAGATTGCAAAATCCACAGTGCACGGTCCTGGCCAAATGGTATTGCAAGTGTTACTGGGAAGGGGTCCCGATCCAGGCCCTCAGAGAGGATTCTTGGATCTTGGGCAAGAAAGAATTCAGGACGAGTCCATACAGTGAAAGCAAGTTTATTAGGAAAGTAAAGGAAAAAAAGAATGCCTACTCCTTACAGCAGTTCCGAGGGCTGCTGGTTGCCCATTTTTATGGTTATTTCTTGAGGATATGCTAAACAAGGGGTGGGCTATTCATGCCTCCCCGTTTTTAGACCATATAGGGTAACTTCCCGACGTTGCTGTAGCATTTGTAAACTCTCAGGGCGCTGGTGGGAGTGTAGCAGTGAGGACCACCAGAGGTCACTCTCATGGCCATCTTGGTTTTGGTGGGTTTCGGCCGGTTTCTTTACCGCGGCCTGTTTTATCAGCAAGGTCTTTATGACCTGTATCTTGTGCCGACCTCCTATCTCATCCTGTGACTTAGAATGCCTTCACCATCTGGGAATGCAGCCCTGTAGGTCTCAGCCTCATTTTACCCAGCTGCTATTCAAGATGGAGTCACTCCGCTTCACAGGCCTCTGATGCAGGGACACAGCTGTACCTCCTACCCCTTTGGATCCCACCATCTGCACAGCCCAGGTGGCATCGGAGGAGGAGTCTCAGTGCTTTCTGGGGTTGTAGAAAGACGGTTTGTTGGCAGTGGGAGGCCTGGACTCACTGGAGGGAATTTGCCAGCCAAGCATGAAAGCCTGGTTAGATTGGGAAAGGTGTCTGGGAAGATGGTGGTCCTGAGGTTGTCCTCTGGGTTCAGGAAGCCAGATCTACTTAAAGGACTTGCCAAGGTGCCACCCTGGCACTGAGGAGAGGTTCCTGTCACCCAGTGTGGCCTCCTTCTTTTGTTTTTGTTTTTGTGTTTTTTTGAGACTGAGTCTCCCTCTGTCGCCCAGGCTGGAGTGCAGTGGCGTGACCTTGGCTCACTGCAAGCTCCACCTCCCGGGTTCACGTCATTCTCCCGCCTCAGCCTCCCAAGTAGCTGGGCGCCCGCCACCACGCCCGGCTAATTTTTTGTATTTTTAGTGGAGACAGGGTTTCACTGTGTTAGCCAGGATGGTTTCGATCTCCTGACATCGTGATCCGCCCACCTCAGCCGCCCAAAGTGGTGGGATTACAGACGTGAGCCACCAGCTTTTTTTTTTTTTTAGACAGAGTCTCACTCTGTCACCCAGGCTGGAGTGCAGTGGTGCAATCTTGGCTGACTGCAACCTCCGCCTCCTTCAATCTGGGTTGAACTCCTGGGTTCAAGTGATTCTTCTGCCTCAGCCTCCCCAGTAGCTGGGACTACAGGGTGTACCACCCCACCTGGCTATTTTGTATTTCTTGTAGAGATGAGGTTTTGCCATGTTGGCCAAGCTGGTCTTGAACTCCTGACCTCAAGCAATCCACCCCCGTCCTTGGCCTCCCAAAGTGCTGAGATGACAGGAGTGAGCCACTGCACCCGGTCCTCCTCCTTTACAGATTTACAGATATGCTCAGAACTGACACACACAAGAAATCAGAGGGGCTTGGAGAGAATCCAGCCCCGGCACTGACACTGACGGAGAAGCTGAGGTAGAGACCCCGGTCCCATATGCAGATTCCCCCAAACCGTTCAGCCACCACCCCACCAATAAGCTGCACCAAACACTGACACCCCCCATGGCTCCCAGAGTTCTGTTCAGCCAATCAATTATGCTGAGGAGGGGGCCGGGTGTGGTGGCTCACACCTGTCATCCCAGCACTTTGGGAGGCCGAGGCAGGTGGATCACCTGAGGTCCGGAGTTCGAGACCAGCCTGGCCAACATGGTGAAACCCCGTCTCTACTAAAAATACAAAAATTTGCCGGGCGTGGTGGCGGGCACTTGTAATCCCAGCTACTCAGGAGGCTGAGGCAGGAGAGTTGCTTGAACCCAGGAGGTGGATGTTGCAGTGAGCCGAGATCGCGCCCTTGTCTTTAAAGAGCTCAAAGAGAAGCCTAAGCCGACTGGAAGAGACATGAGGTGAACCCAGGGAGCACCCGTGGCCTGGCCGAGGCTTCTCCTTGAACTCCTGGTATTCCAACCTGCCCAGGAGTCCTTCCGGGTGGGAGAGAAGGCGATTTTCTTTCTCCTTACATAAGAGCCATGCGGCTCAGCCCCTGGAAGTCAGGAGTGTTTCCATAGTCCTGAGCAGTGAGTCCACACAGCTAATCTGCTTTGGATTTTCGGAAGGGCCTCGCTACTGGGCCCATCATCATCCTGTGTCTTATCTTGATGTTTTCCAAAGGACATTGCTTAAAGAAACTCAAAGCAAACCCTGGGAAAGGCAGCCCATTCTACCTTTTCCAGCTCTGAAGACTGGCCTGCTTTTGAATAATAGCTGGGGTGCACCTAGAAATCAGGGGCGAATCACACAAAATGAGCGGGACCCAGGAGACCAGGGGCTTGCACAAGACAGGTCTCTTCTCAAAGCCGTCCTTCCAGAGCAGGACCGTCAGTCCCTCGCCTGGGTCATGGAGATGCGGTGTCCTCAGAGGACTCGGCTTCTGGCCCGAGGCCTCTCCCGGCAGGGTCTGAGAAACGAAAGCTGCCTCACCATGAATGCCAGTCCTGCGTTTTTGTTTTTTCTGCACTAAATTAAGCCGCTGCCCAAGTGGGAGTTAAGTCAGACAGGAAGAGGGCAGGACCCCCACACCGCTGCTGCGTACTGTTTCGGAACAGCTTGTCTTCCGTAAGCCCTGCCAGACAGTGGATTAAACACACCCCAGGCCCCGCATGCTGGCTGGTGCCCCGTGCCCGACACCGGCCCTCTCCCAGCCCCCAGGTCTTGGGCTGTTCTGTGGCTCATGATGTGTGGATTTGCCTGCTGTTGAACCAGGTCTTCTCTTTCCTTCATATGCACCTGTCAACCAAAATGCTTTTTGAAAAACAGAACTTTACAGCTGGGCATGGTGGCTCACACCTGTCATCTCAGCACTTCAGGAAGCCGAGGGGTGGGGATTGCTTGATCCCAGGAGTTTGAGACCAGCCTGGGCAACATAGTGAGTCCTCATCTCTACACTTTTTTTGTTGTTGTTTTGTTTTGTTTTTTAATAGAGACAGGGTCTCCCTCTGTCACACAGGCTGGAGTGCAGTGGCACGATCATAGCTCATTGCAGCCTTGAACTCCTGGGCTCTAGCAACCCTCCCACTTCTGCCTCCTGAGTTGCTGGGACCACTGGAGTGCACCCCCACATCCAGCCGTAAAGCTCTACTTTTATAATTTATGTTTATATTTTTATTGCTCTGTTCTCATAATTTATCATTTTTTTAACATTTATTTCTATTTTTGTAGAGACAGGGTCTTACCATCTTGCCCAGGCTGCTCTTGAACTCCTGGGCTCAAGCCATCCTCCCTCCTCGGCCTCCCAAAGTGCCGGGATTACAGGTGTGAGCCACCACACCCAGCCAACTACAAAATTTTTGTTAAAATTAGCCTGGCATGGTGGCCGCCTGTACCTGTAGTCTGAGATTCTCAGGAGGGTGAGCTCAGATTCTCATGAGGGTGAGGTGGGTGGCAGGTACCTGTAGTCTCAGATACTCAGGAGGGTGAGGTGGGAGAATCACTTGAGCCCACGTCAAGGCTGCAATGAGCTATGATCACGCCATCGCACTACTGGGTGGTAGAACGAGACCCTGTCCTAAAAATGTTTTTAACAAAAAGTTATTTTGTTCCTTAGTTTAGATTAAGGTGATAGTTTTCAAAGAACATTGAAAGGGACCTGTCATATTCAGTAAAGAAGCGAATTGAATTAAAAACACAAACCTGACAGAACACAGCCCATATGAGTGTACCCACACATGTTGGTGAGCTCGATTCATAACCCTGAGCCCCCGAGACTCACAAAGATGGCCTGAAACAGATACAGGCAAAGGGCTACCAAAGTTCTCGCTTTCAGGGCTATCAGGTCTGAAGGAACAGGCTGGCTTTCTTAGTTTTGTTTTGTTTTTTGTTTGTTTGGGTTTTTTTGTTTTTTGTTTTGAGACAGTGTTTTGCTCTCGTTGCCCAGGCTGGAGTGCAGTGGCACGATCTAAGCTCACTGCAACCTCCACCTCCTGGGTTCAAGTGATTCTCCTGCCTCAGCCTCCCGAGTAGCTGGGATTACAGAAGCCTACCAGCACACCCAGCTAATTTTTGTATTTTTAGTACAGACAGGGTTTCACCATGTTGAAATCAGCCAAGCTGATCTCAAACTCCTGACCTCAGGTGATCTACCTGCCTTGGCCTCCTGAAGTGCTGGGATTATAGGTGTGAGCCACTGTGCCCCGTTGGCTTTTTTTCTGATCTCTCAGTTGGGAGACCACCCGTTTGGCTGGAGTCGTGGGGTCTGGCCAGGTCCAAATGATGACACAAACCCAGACAGGAAGTGCAGCTGGCATCCATCAGTCCAGTGTGCCCAGTGTGGGGAGTCCCCTGATGCCAGTCAAACACGGCTCCACTCTGGAGGCCTCTTTGTAAGCTAAGAGCTGATTCTCCCAAATGCTCCCTAGTTACACAGAAAAGGACCTTCCTTGTCTTCTGCAAAATAAATCCAGGTGGGATTTGGCAAAGAGCTGGGGCACATGGCCTCCTCGGAGCTGCATCAATACACTTGCACTTCGGGCTCCGTTCTGCGTATTCGTGCTGGACGAGGACTTGCAGACCAGAAAAGTAGCCCTTGGGTGAGCAGTTGAAGTTAAGACCCTCGGCTCCTGGGCTGACTTGCTAGAAGGGCGTGCTGTCATTATCCCTGGGGATCAAACGTCTGGTCTGTGTGGCCACACTCCAAAGGCAGGCTCAAAGGTCTCCATGGTACTCCAGGGCCCCTTGAGGATTCGGGTCTGTGGGGGCTGCCCGGGAAGGGACGGAGAGCGAGGGCCCTTGGAGGCAGCCTGTTTGCTCCACACAATGACAGGTGACTTAGCTGTGTCCTTCCCGGGAGCCACAGTGGCTTCACGTACCCCTCTCCTATCCCCAGTTCAGAGCAGAATACATGCAGGCTGGAGGCAGCTGTGGTTTGCAGCCTGATACTTGCTGAAGACATTTACATGCTTTGAAGAAATGTGTTTCAGTTTTGGGTCTTTACTGAGAATGAGCCAGAGGGGGAAGAACTTGTGGTGAGGGAGGGTCTTATCTCTTCCCAGGCCACATCAGCCTGGGGCCAACTGGGGCAGTGTTGTTGCCCCTCTCCCCGCTCCCTTGTAGGACTTCCACCCCCACCTCCAACCACTGACAAGTACGTCTGGGAATCCCCGAAGATGTCTTTCATAAGCTCATAAATAAACCTGGTCACACTTATGGAATGCCTGCTCTTAATTTTCTTTTCTTTTTCTAGCCCTCACTGTCCTGGCCTCTGGTTCTGCTAAGGTGTGTGACGGTGGACCACCATGGTCCTCCGATTGGGTGCCCCTGCTACAAGTACCATCAGCCCCTGCAGCCTCTTGAGAGAGGTGACAGTGGTGGCACATGGGTACGGTCCCCTTGCCCTTTGCCCCTTGCCCCTTGCCAGGCACCGCCCAAAGCCCTGGGCACTGCTGCCGGTGCTGGTGGTGGCAGAGGCCCCTGTGGCTCTCGGGCATTAGCCTGTAGGTCTTCTGCTGCAAAGCGCCTCTCACCCCTCCTGGTTGCGTGGGTGGGGTGGTCCTGAAGCCCCGTGGCTTCCTTTATTTCTGCCTTCTCTGTAGAATTCAAACATGAACCCTGCAGGGCTAGACCAAGACACAAATATCAATTTCTAAAAACACCCCTTTGAGGGTTGGGCACGGCGGCTCACGCCTGTAATCCCAGCGCTTTGGGAGGCCGAGGCGGGTGGATCACCTGAGGTCAGGAGTTCGAGACCATCCTGGCCAACAGGGTGAAACCCCATCTGTACAAAAAATACAAAAAATAGCCGGGTGTGGTGGCGCATGCCTGTAGTCCCAGCTACTCAGGAGGCTGAGGCGGGAGGATTGCTTGAGCTCAGGAGAGATCAGTCTGGGCAACACGGTGAAACACCATCTCTACAAAAAATACAAAAACTAGCCTGGTGTGGTGCTGGGCGCCTGTAGTCCCAGCTGCTTGGGAGGCTGAGGTGGGAGGATCGCTGGAACCTGGGAGGCAGAGGCTGCAGTGAGCCAAGATCGCACCACTGCACTCCAGCCTAGGTGACACAGTGAGAGCCTGTTGAAAGAAAGAGAGAGAGAAAGAAAGAGAGAGAAAGGGAGGGAGGGAGGGATGGAGGGAAAAGGAGAGGAGAGGAGAGAAAGGCAAGGCAGAGGAGGGAGGGGAGCTTGGCCAAGGTGGTGGCACCTGGGAGGCTTATCTGGCATCCTGGCAGCAAGGCTGGGAGGCTGGTGGTGAGCACCTGGCCCATGCTGATCTTCCCACCTCCCTGGCCTCTACTGACGTGTAACTTGTTCTGCTCGGCCATTGAGTGCCACTCTCTGCTTTTTTTCTTTGAGACAGAGTCTCTGTGGTCCAGGCTGGAGTGCAGGAGTGCAATCTCAGCTCACTGCAACCTCCGCCTCCCAGGTCCAAGGGATTCTACTACCTCAGCCTCCAGAGTCACTGGGACTACAGGCACCTGCCACCACGCCCAGCTAATTTTTGTATTTTTAGTAGAGACATGGTTTCACCATGTCGGCCAGGCTGGTCTCACACTCCTGACCTCAAGTGATCCACTCGCTTCAGCCTCCCAAAGTTCTGGGATTACAGGCGTGAGCCACCGCGCCTGGCCATTCTCAGCAATTTAATTTAATTTAATTTTGAGACAGAGTCTTTCTCTGTCACCCAGGCTGGAGTGCAGTGGCATGATCTCAGCTCACTGTAACCTCTGCCTCCCAGGTTCAAGCCATTCTCCTGCCTCAGCCTCCCAAGTAGCTGGGACTACAGGCATGCACCACTACACCAGCTGATTTTTGTATTTTTAGTAGAGACAGGCTTTCGCCATGTTGGCTGGGCTGGTCTTGAACTCCTGACCTCGGGTGATCCGCCTGCCTCGGCCTCCCACAGTGCTGGGATGACAGGCAGGAGCCAGCACACCCAGCCCTACTGTCTGCTTTGGTGTCCACGTGCCGCCTGCTTTCCATTCTGCTTGTTCCAAATCCAGGTCTCAGCCAATGTGCTGGTCCTTTCACTACTTCTGGGAGCTTGGGAGCTCTTAGCAGCCATTACCTGCCCATGATTGGGTAGGAGGGACTCTGCGGTACACAGAGGCCTCCCCCTTAGGCCTTTCTAACTGGACAGCACCCTCAGGTCCTCACTCGCTGTCTCCTGGTGCCTTGTTGAACACAGAACTTTTCTCTGGGGGCTTCAGTCTCACAGGGGCATTGCTGGAAGCCAGACAGTGGCTTCTAGATTAGCATCCTCCTCAAGCTGATGGGGGTGCTTCTCCTACTGGGGCTCAGCCCAGAGTGCTGGGGCTCCGGGTTTCTTCTCAGGGACCTACAAGCCTTTAAGCCTCTCTGGCTTTTCTTTTCTCATCTGCTGGGCAAAATCCACTTTCTTTCTTTTTAGGTGGAAAAAAAATGTTTATGTCCAGATGCCCGGTCCCTGTGATGATAGTGTGGATTGGGTGCAAAAATGCTTCAGCATTTTGGTTCTTAACATTTAAAGGCAGATTTTTAGAATAAGAAAACAAACCAAAACAGCATTCCAACATTCTTACATTGATAGCACGGATTCCAAGACTTTTGTCTCTACTGCAGAATTACAAAAGTCTGCACAAGAATTCAAGCAATTATCTCGATACCATCTGCACCTGAGCGCAGTGCATAGACGAGGCCCCACCTGCTGCTGCGGAAAGGGGCAAAGAATAGAAAAACAACCACTTAACAGCAAAATGTGACTTCGCTACCTATCCAAAGGATGATCATTGATGTCCTGAGAGAACCAAGAAATCACGCACTGGAGGACCCCTGACCGGGAGGAAAGGCAGGGGTCTTTACTCAGTAGATCTTGAATAAGAACACTCTCTTGCAAGACACAGTTGGGTCACAGCTGGCCTTGTGCAATGAAAACCAAAGGGGAACTTCTGCTTACTGGGTTTCTACAGATAGAGATGAAACTACATCCTCTCTCTCAAGAAACAGGAAAAGCCACGCAGGATGAGTGAGGATGTGCGGTGGGTACCCACACACCCACCATGGGGATGTGCAGCAAAACCAACTGCAGCAGGTGTTTTGGCAAGAGCTAGCGGGCTTTTTTTGTTTGTTTGTTTTTTGAGACAGAGTCTCGCACTGTTGCCCAGGCTGGAGTGCAGTGGCACGATCTTGGCTCACTGCAAGCTCCGCCTCCCAGGTTCCAGCGATTCTCCTGCCTCAGCCTCCCGAGTAGCTGGGGTTACAGGCGCCGGCCACCACGCCCAGCTAATTTTTTGTATTTTTAGCAGAGACAGGGTTTCACTGTGTTAGCCAGGATGGTCTTGATCTCCTGACCTTGTGATCCGCCCGTCTCGGCCTCCCAAAGTGCTGGGATTAAAGGCATGAGCCACCACGCCCGGCCAGCTAGCGACATTTTAAATGTACACCTCCTTTAATCTGATTTTTCTCCTTTTTGAAACAGGGTCTCCCTGTCACCCAGGCTGGAGTGCAGCAGTGCAATCACAGCTCACTGCAGCCTTGACATCCCAGGGTTCAAGCGATCCTCCCGTCTCAGCCTCCCGAGTAGCTGGGACTACAGGAGCGCACCACCACACCCGGATAATTTTTTGTAGAGATGGGGTTTCACCGTGTTGCCCAGGTCACTCTCAAACTCCTGGGCTCAAGTGATCTGCCTGACTTGGTCTTCCAAAGTCCTGGGATTATAGGTGTGAGCCACCATGCCCAGCCTTAATCATTTTAAGTGGAAATGTAACCATTTTAGGATAATGTCCTACAAAAATGTGAGTACAAGCAAGCAAAGACATTTGCAGAAAGATTTTCACAGATGATGTGAGTCTAATGCCAAAAAACTAAACACAGCCTTTTGGCTATATTGCTAGAAGACTGGCTGTCTCAGTGTATTCACGCTGCTACAATAAAATGCCACGGACTAATTGATAAATAGTAGATCGTTGTTCCTTACAGCTCTGGAGGCCAGGACGTCGAAGATCAGGTGCTGACGGACTCCGTGCCCAGTGAGGGCTGCTCTTTGCTTCCAAGATGGCGCCATGTTGCTTGTTACATGGCAGAAGGCAGAAAGTCACAGGGTGTCACACAGCTCCCCTGCACCTCTTTATAAGGTCATAATCCCATTCTTGAGGCCCCTTCTTCATGATTTAACCACCTCCTAAGGGCCCCACATCTTAATACTATCACATCGGGGATTCACTTTCAACATAAGAATTTTGGAGGGACATATACATTCAAACCATAGCACTGATGACATAAATGATGGGACCGGGTGAAGTGGCTCACGCCTGTAATCCCAGCACTTTGGGAGGCCAAGGAGGGCAGATCACCTGAGGTCAGGAGTTTGAGACCAGCCTGGCCAGCATGGCGAAACCCTGTCTCTACTAAAAAATACAAAAATTAGCCAGGCGTGGTGGCGGGCGCCTGTAATCCCGGCTACTCAAGAGGCTGAGGCAGGAGAATCGCTTGAACCTGGCAGAAGGAGGTTGCAGTGAGCCGAGATCGCACCATTGCACTCCAGCAGCCTGAGGACAGGGCGAGGCTCCGTCTCAAAAAAAAGAAAAAAAATGATGGCATAGCTGAGCTATAAAGCACCAAGCAGCCATTAAAAATAATGAGTAGATCTATACATGGCAAGGGAAAAGTCCAAGATGTACAGTCAGCCTTCTGCATCTGCCAGTTCTGCAGCTACAGATTCAACCAACTCTGGAATGAAAATACAGAATTCTCAGGATGCTGAGAAGTCAAGACCCAAATTTTTGTGCCCACAGGTTCCACAGGGCTGACTCGGGGCCTGGGACCTGAGCATCCAGGATTTTGTTATCTGGCAGGTGGGGGGGCCTGCTTCATGTTAATTTCTTTTTTTTTTTTTTCCTTTGACAAAGTATCTCCTTTTTCCCACATACAGATACAGAGAAATCTTCACAGGAGAGTAGGACTTCTGATATATTTCCATGTAGTGGTTTTTTTTTTGTTGTTGTTTTTTGAGACAGTCTCACTCTGGCTGGAGTGAACTGGCATGATCTCAGCTCACTGAAAGCTCCACCTCCCGGGTTCAAGTGATTCTCCTGCCTCAGCCCCCCGAGTAGCTGGGATTACAGGCATGTGCCACCAAAACTGGCTAATTTTTTTTTTTTTCCCCTGAGATGGCGTCTCGCCTATTGCCCAGGCTGGAGTGCAATGGCGCGATCTTGGCTCATTGCAACCTCCGCCTCCCAGACTCAAATGATTCTCCTGCCTCAGCCTCCCAAGCAGCTGGGATTACAGGTGTGCGCCATGATGCCTGGCTAATTTTTTGTTATCTTTAGTAGGGATGGGCTTTCACCATGTTGGCCAGGCTGGTCTTGTACTCCTGACCTCGTGATCCGCCCGCCTCGGCCTCCCAAAGTGCTGGGATGACAGGCGTGAGCCACCGCGCCCGGCCCCACTGTACTTTAAAAATGAGCATTGCTACTGCAATATTATAGGGTAATAGCAGCACAGGCCACACTGAGCCATCAGTGTCGTCGGTTTTGAGAAGAGACCCGCTGGAGCCAGGCTCTTTAGCTCCTTCTGAGAAACCCTACGGAAAGAGGCGTGGAGCAGGCCCAGCCGGGAGCCCAGGGAGAGTGGACTCCGCACACCGAGACCCGCCTGAGCAGCAGAGAATGGCTTCCGGCTTCCGCACACCGAGACCCGCCGGTGCAGGGGTGAATGGCTTCCGGCTTCCGCACACCGAGACCCGCCGGTGCAGGGGTGAATGGCTTCCGGCTTCCGCACACCGAGACCCACCTGAGCAGCAGAGAATGGCTTCCGGCTTCCGCACACCGAGACCCGCCTGAGCAGCAGAGAATGGCTTCCGGCTTCCGCACACCGAGACCCGCCGGTGCGGGCTTCCTGGGACTTCCATTCTTGATTTGTTGGGGCAAGATTTTCTTTTGATTTCTGTGACTGTTCTCTGTGTAATCATTAAGAAAAAAATGTTATGATAAACTAACCATATTGGCTGACAGCCAGAGTGGTTAGGGGTGAGTAAGGTGTTGAGATTGAGGCCCTAGGAAAGGAAGGTGGAGCCATTTAGAAATGGGGAATTCAGCCGGGTGCGGTGGCTCATGCCTGTAATCCCCACACATTGGGAGGCCGAGGCGGGAGGCTCACTTGAGCCCAAGAGTTTGAGACAAGACTGGGCAATAGAATAAGACCCTGTCTCAAAAAAAAAAAAAAAAAAAAAAAAAAGAGAGAGAGACAAGAAAAGAAAAAAAGAAAAATGGGGGATTCAGGAAGGAAGCTGAGCTTACCTCGAGATGGTGCATATAAGCTAATGATGGGAGTTGGCTAGAAGACAGGAACTGAAAATTGGGGGGAGCTCAGGTGTAGCTGGTGTTTGCACCTGTGATGGCAGGTAAGTCCTCAGGAGCCTGGCATGAAAACAGGGGGCCTAAGACCTCGAGGCCTGGCCGCTGTCAAGGCTCAGAAGGAGAGGAGAGCTGGGGAAGGAGACTAAGAAGTCCCAGAGCCAGTAAAGCAGTTAAGGGAGAATTCCGGAGAGAGGAGGACTCACAGAGTTAAGGGAGAATTCCGGGGAGAGGGGGACTCACACAGTTAAAGGAGTATTCCGGGGAGGAGGACTCAGAGTTAAGGGAGGATTCCGGGGAGAGGGGGACTCACACAGTTAAAGGAGTATTCCAGGGAGGAGGACTCAGAGTTAAGGGAGAATTCCGGGGAGAGGGGGACTCACACAGTTAAAGGAGTATTCCGGGGAGGAGGACTCAGAGTTAAGGGAGGATTCCAGGGAGAGGGGGACTCACACAGTTAAAGGAGGATTCCAGGGAGAGGGGACTCACACACAGATGCCCCTCCACAGATGATGGGGTTACGTCCCAATAAACCCACTGTAAGTTACATTGTTAAGTCAAAAATGCATTTAATACACCTAACCTCCCCAATGTCATAGCTTAGCCTAGCCTACCTTAAACGTGCTCAGAACAGTTACATTATCCTGCAGTTGGGCAGGACAGATGTGAGCCGGGCTAGAAGGGCATCGGTGACCTTCGAGAGAAGGGTCAGGACAGATGTGAGCCAGACGAAGAACCTCAGTGACCTTCGAGAGAAGGAAATGTCAGGACAGATGTGAGCTGGGCTAGAAGGGCATCGGTAACCTTTGAGAGAAGGAAGGGTCAGGACACATGTGAGCCAGATTAGAATAACATCGGTGACCTTCGAGAGAAGGAAGGGTCAGGACAGATGTGAGCCAGATTAGAATAACATCGGTGACCTTCGAGAGAAGGGTCAAGACAGATGTGAGTCAGGCTAGAAGGGCATCGGTGACCTTCCAGAGAAGGGTCAAGACAGATGTGAGTCAGGCTAGAAGGGCATCGGTGACCTTCCAGAGAAGGGTCAAGACAGATGTGAGTCAGGCTAGAAGGGCATCGGTGACCTTCCAGAGAAGGGTCAAGACAGATGTGAGTCAGGCTAGAAGGGCATCGGTGACCTTCCAGAGAAGGGTCAAGACAGATGTGAGTCAGGCTAGAAGGGCATCGGTGACCTTTGAGAGCAGGGTCAGGACAGTGGTTGAGATGGAAGCTGACTTTCTAGAAGGGCATCGGTGACCTTGGAGAGCAGGGTCAGGACAGTGGTTGAGATGGAAGCTGACTTTGTAGAAGAGCATTGGTGACCTTCGAGAGCAGGGTCAGGACAGCGGTTGAGATGGAAGCTGACTTTCTAGAAGAGCACCGGTGACCCTCGAGAGCAGGGTCAGGACAGTGGTTGAGATGGAAGCTGACTTTCTAGAAGAGCACCGGTGACCTTCGAGATCAGGGTCAGGACAGCGGTTGAGATGGAAGCTGACTTTGTAGAAGAGCATTGATGACCTTCGAGATCAGGGTCAGGGCAGTGGTTGAGATGGAAGCTGACTTTCTAGAAGAGCACCGGTGACCCTCGAGAGCAAGGTCAGGACAGCGGTTGAGATGGAAGCTGACTTTGTAGAAGAGCATTGGTGACCTTCGAGATCAGGGTCAGGACAGCGGTTGAGATGGAAGCTGACTTTCTAGAAGAGCACCGGTGACCCTCGAGAGCGGGGTCAGGACAGTGGTTGAGATGGAAGCTGACTTTGTAGAAGAGCATTGGTGACCTTCGAGATCAGGGTCAGGACAGCGGTTGAGATAGAAGCTGACTTTCTAGAAGAGCATTGGTGACCTTCGAGAGCAGGGTCAGGACAGCGGTTGAGATGGAAGCTGACTTTCTAGAAGAGCACCGGTGACCCTCGAGAGCGGGGTCAGGACAGTGGTTGAGATGGAAGCTGACTTTGTAGAAGAGCATTGGTGACCTTCGAGATCAGGGTCAGGACAGCGGTTGAGATGGAAGCTGACTTTCTAGAAGAGCATTGGTGACCTTCGAGAGCAGGGTCAGGACAGCGGTTGAGATGGAAGCTGACTTTCTAGAAGAGCACCGGTGACCCTCAAGAGCGGGGTCAGGACAGTGGTTGAGATGGAAGCTGACTTTGTAGAAGAGCATTGGTGACCTTCAAGATCAGGGTCAGGACAGCGGTTGAGATGGAAGCTGACTTTCTAGAAGAGCACCGGTGACCCTCAAGAGCGGGGTCAGGACAGTGGTTGAGATGGAAGCTGACTTTGTAGAAGAGCATTGGTGACCTTCGAGATCAGGGTCAGGACAGCGGTTGAGATGGAAGCTGACTTTCTAGAAGAGCATTGGTGACCTTCGAGAGCAGGGTCAGGACAGCGGTTGAGATGGAAGCTGACTTTCTAGAAGAGCATTGGTGACCTTCGAGAGCAGGGTCAGGACGGTGGTTGAGATGGAAGCTGACTTTCTAGAAGAGCATTGGTGACCTTCGAGAGCAGGGTCAGGACAGCGGTTGAGATGGAAGCTGACTTTCTAGAAGAGCACCGGTGACCTTTGAGAGCGGGGTCAGGACAGTGGTTGAGATGGAAGCTGACTTTGTAGAAGAGCATTGGTGACCTTCGAGAGCAGGGTCAGGACAGTGGTTGAGATGGAAGCTGACTTTCTAGAAGAGCACCGGTGACCCTCAAGAGCGGGGTCAGGACAGTGGTTGAGATGGAAGCTGACTTTCTAGAAGAGCACCGGTGACCCTCAAGAGCGGGGTCAGGACAGTGGTTGAGATGGAAGCTGACTTTGTAGAAGAGCATTGGTGACCTTCAAGATCAGGGTCAGGACAGCGGTTGAGATGGAAGCTGACTTTCTAGAAGAGCACCGGTGACCCTCAAGAGCGGGGTCAGGACAGTGGTTGAGATGGAAGCTGACTTTGTAGAAGAGCATTGGTGACCTTCGAGATCAGGGTCAGGACAGCGGTTGAGATGGAAGCTGACTTTCTAGAAGAGCATTGGTGACCTTCGAGAGCAGGGTCAGGACAGCGGTTGAGATGGAAGCTGACTTTCTAGAAGAGCATTGGTGACCTTCGAGAGCAGGGTCAGGACGGTGGTTGAGATGGAAGCTGACTTTCTAGAAGAGCATTGGTGACCTTCGAAAGCAGGGTCAGGACAGCGGTTGAGATGGAAGCTGACTTTCTAGAAGAGCACCGGTGACCTTTGAGAGCGGGGTCAGGACAGTGGTTGAGATGGAAGCTGACTTTGTAGAAGAGCATTGGTGACCTTCGAGAGCAGGGTCAGGACAGTGGTTGAGATGGAAGCTGACTTTCTAGAAGAGCACCGGTGACCCTCAAGAGCGGGGTCAGGACAGTGGTTGAGATGGAAGCTGACTTTCTAGAAGAGCACCGGTGACCCTCAAGAGCGGGGTCAGGACAGTGCTTGAGATGGAAGCTGACTTGCTCGGCAGGAATGCATGTGGGGATGGGGGCAGTGGACTCCCTTGACGCACTAACAAAACCGACAGGCTGTGGGGGGGAGTGGCATCAGGAAAAGCAGGGGGACCCCTGTTCACTTCTGCAAGCAGAGGGTGAAAGGGGACAGTCTCTGAAGACCTGGGTGGGGCAAAGGACAGACCCCAGGACTGGACAGCTAGGGAAAGTGGTGTGGTGAGTTGAGAGCAGGATATTGAGAGTGGCATGTACACAAGTGGCTTAGCTTTTGCCGCTCCTCTTCTATGGCGGGGAGTAAGCCAGTGATTAAACCTCTTGAGATCTCAGCATCCCATCTACAAATGGAGGGACTTTGACAAAGTTCCCAACACGGAAACAAACACACCACCCAACCCCGATGCTCTAATTCCAACCTTCATGCCCCAATTCTGAGTTTCCCAACTGGAATGCTGGGGCCACCGCAAAGGTATCCAGCAAATGGCCAGATACTGATCCCTTTAGCCTTGGGGCTGTGGAGGGAGGGAGGTGTCCCCAGGCCCATCACTTCCGGCCCCAGCAGCCTCTTCTGTTGAGGGAAGAGGAGTTACTCATGTCGTCACTTCTGTTTCAAGTCCTGAAAAGGTCGGGAAGCATTGCCTACACAGTCATGCGAGGTCTCAAGCACAAGATTTGGGGCTTTTGGAAGGATTGGGTTCTTCTGATCGCCCACCTCCCTCTGACCAAGCCCCTTCTCCATCCCAGTGACACTGCTTTGTTCTTAGTACTGTCTCCCTTGCACCAGGGGTTACTCAGAGGGTTCTCAGATGTTCTTTCCAAAGGCCACAAGGCCTCGTCTCAGTTGTGCCCCACAGCCTTATGGGTCGAGCATCCGAAATACAAAATGCTCCAAAATCCAAAATATTTTGAGTGCTGACATGACACCCAAAGGAAGTGCTCACTGAAGCGATTTGGATTTGGGATTTTCCAATTAGGGATGCTGAAGTGGCATGTACATAATACACATATTCCAAAATCAAAAAAAAGCTGAACTCCAAAACACTCCTGGGCCCAAGCATCTCAGATTAGGGATGCTCAACCTGTATTTGCACAGAATTTGGGAGAGAGTTTAGGTGCTATTGTTGAATGGGTGGCTACCTCAAGTCAAACGGTGCCCTTTCCTGTACTAGGTGACAGTGCCAAGCCTGACCTCCCCTCTAAGGTCAGAAAAACAATGAGCAACGTGCGTCAATGAGGGCAGCAGCTTCCAAACAGACACCTGGGGAAACCTGGAAATCTTCAGTGATGTTTTGGTGGAGTGAGAACCTCTACAAAGGTTTGATTCTAACTTCACTTTTAAAATGCATTTAGTTTTAGTTCTAAAAACTAAACATTAAAAATGGTAATAACGCAACGCGCATCCTCAAATGTCTTCTGGGGGCAAATGTAAGATGTCGGAGGCCCTTGCTTCTGTTAACCTCTTTCTCCAAGGGCTGTTCACGGCCATGAAGACTTCAGGAGACAAGGAGCCTGTTACCATCTCTGTTTAATTGAAGAGCCTCTACCATTGCAAGAAGAGCTGTTTAAAACAAAACAAAATGGATACTATTTGAAAATTCTTAGCTGGATTAAATCAAGATTTCTCTATTCTGTGCAACCCAGAAGTAAACTGGGGTTGATACACACACATTTTCATCCATAACCTTGGTTTAAAGTGCTTCCTATTTGCTGGAATAGTTTTCAATGCTTTTACTGATTTCTTCTGAAAAATATTTGAACTCATAAAATGTATTCATAAAATACTTTTATCTATTTTGTATAGAGGGAATCCAATGTAAAATTTTGTCCCATAAATTTGAAAACTGCTGGTGAAGTACAAAAGGCATGGATGTTGGAATGAAGGCTGGAGCCAAATCCTGGCTCGCCCCCTTACTAGTCACATAGCAAATCCTGGCTCACCCCTCACTAGTCACATATCAAATCCTGTCTCACCCCTCACCAGTCACATATCAAATCCTGCCTCACCCCCTTACTAGTCACATATCAAATCCTGCCTCACCCCCTTACTAGTCACATATCAAATCCTGGCTCACTCGTCACTAGTCACATATCAAATCCTGGCTGGCTCACCCCTTACTAGCCACATATCAAATCCTGGCTGACCCCTCACTAGGTACATATCGAATCCTGGCTCACCCCTCACTAGTCACATATTGAATCCTGGCTCACCCCTCACTAGTCACATGTCAAATCCTGGCTCACCCCTCACTAGTCACATATCAAATCCTGGCTGACCCCTTACTAGTCACGTATCGAATCCTGGCTGACCCCCTGACTAGTCACGTATCAAATCCTGGCTGACCCCTTACTAGTCACATATCAAATCCTGGCTCGCCCCTCAGTAGCCACATATCAAATCCTGGCTCACTCCTCACTACTCACATATCGAATCCTGGCTCACCCCTCACTAGTCACGTATGGAATCCTGGCTCGCCCCTCACTGGTCACGTATCGCATCCTGGCTCGCCCCTCACTGGTCACGTATCGAATCCTGGCTCGCCCCTCACTGGTCACGTATTGAATCCTGGCTCACCCCTCACTTGTCACGTATTGAATCCTGGCTCACCCCCTTACTAGTCACATATCAAATCCTGGCTCGCCCCTCACTAGCCACATATCAAATCCTGACTGGCTAACCCCTCACTAACCACATATCAAATCCTGACTGGCTCCACCCCTCACCAGTCACATATCAAATCCTGGCTCGCCCCTCACCAGTCACATATCAAATCCTGGCTCGCCCCTCACCAGTCACATATCAAATCCTGGCTCGCCCCTCACCAGTCACATATCAAATCCTGGCTCGCCCCTCACCAGTCACATATCAAATCCTGGCTCGCCCCTCACCAGTCACATATCAAATCCTGGCTCGCCCCTCACCAGTCACATATCAAATCCTGGCTCGCCCCTCACCAGTCACATATCAAATCCTGGCTCGCCCCTCACCAGTCACATATCAAATCCTGGCTCGCCCCTCACCAGTCACATATCAAATCCTGGCTCGCCCCTCACCAGTCACATATCAAATCCTGGCTCGCCCCTCACCAGTCACATATCAAATCCTGGCTCGCCCCTCACTAGTCACATATCAAATCCTGTCTCGCCCCTCACTAGTCACATATCAAATCTTGGCTGACCCCTTACTAGTCACATATCGAATCCTGGCTCGCCCCTCACTAGTCACATATCAAATCCTGGCTTGTCCCCTTGCTAGTCACGTATCAAATCCTGGCCGACCCCTTACTAGTCCCATATGAAATCCTGGCTGACCCCTTACTAGTCACATATTGAATCCTGGCTGACCCCTTACTAGTCACACATCGAATCCTGGCTCACCCCTCACTAGGCACATATCCTTGGGCCTGTCACTTACCCTCTTTGAGCCTCCAAGTCCCGTCCACTAAACGGAGCTTAACTTAGCAGGAATTTCATCCGATGAGATAATGTATCCAGGACACAGTAAATACACAGTTACCTTTTCCTTCCCACCCCACCAACATGTACAGATAGCACTGAATTGCCCAGGCCCTCTCATGACCTAAGATACCACATGCAGGCCACACAGCAGCTGGACTGTGCAGCCAGGGCCCAGGGCTACCCCAACTGACCTCCACTCCCCTCAGCACCCTCCTCTGGCCTCCGAGCTAGCCAGCTGCTGATCCAAAGCTCTGGATCCTTTAGGGCTGTGCAAAGATGTGACAGGCATGGGTATGAGGCTGTGGGGGACTCTGTGTGTAAACTGATGTTTCTTTGTATAGCATTTGATATTCGGTGTGGGTATGAGGTTGTGGGGGGCTCTGTGTGTAAACTGATGTTTCTTTATACAGCATTTGATATTGGGTGTAGGTATGAGGCTGTGGGGGACTCTGTGTAAACAGATGTTTTCTTTATATAGCATTTGATATGTATTCCATTTGCCTTCTAAAGCCCTCCAGTGGCTGCTCCAGTTGGTCCACTGCAGTGCTTGATTTTGTGAAGAACCCTGTGGAATGTGGTCTCTGGCAGCTGAGAAGTGCCTTCCTTTTCCATCAGCGCAAGGCAAACACATGAAGGGAGCTGGGGTTTCTTGCCACCATTTCACCTGAGACCCCTGAAAGCTGCAGCCCACACTGCAAATACTTTTCTTGGCCCTGGAAGTAGAGGGAAGTTTGTTGAGAAGCTGTTCTTAATTTCTCACTTGTTGAAAAATTACCCAAAACAGGAGGCAAGACAATTGTGCAAATTCCATTTGATGACTGAGCAGAAGCTCCCAGAACCCTCGGATGAAGTGAGCAGCATTCCCAGGAGGCGGGACGTTGGACGCTATTTTTATTTTAACATCTCATATTGCCCCAGGTTCTCTGAGTCAACACCCTCAAAGGGGACAGACAGAAACAGAAAGGAACTTTTGGGCTGATTATAAGGATTCAGCTGGCCTTGGGAAAAGTCTAAACATCTTTGAAACACAATTGGAAAGTAATCCAAACAGCCTGTGAGCTCAGGCTTCCCAGTTAGAACTGCCTGTCCCAAGTTAATCTTGCTTAGTTTTTTGGGGGGCATCATACCTAAAGAAGAAGAAGAAGAAAAAAGGCAAGAATAAGTAAAAGGAAAAAAAAGAAAAAGAAAGGCAGGCAAGAATTTTTGTCCCTGTCGGGAGAAGAGTCTGGTCTGTGGACACCAGACACCTAAGCAAGTTTCTTGGAAGGGAGGCTTTGGCAACCCTCGCAATTCGCATTCACAGGAGACATGCCCTATTTTCCACAACAGGCAGCCTCGCCACCAGCCCCAGGAGGGAGGAAGCTCTCTTCTCAGTGTCTGCAGGTTTATCCCTAAATGCTACGGAAGCAGCAGCTGCCAGGGGAAGGGGATACTGCTCAGTCTTTTAAAACTCTCGTGTAAGCTTGATATTACAGTCATGACCTAAAAAGGCAAAGACCAGATATGCGGAGCTCGCTGCGGATGTAGCCTGCACACGGCCGCAGGATTTGTCACCACTCATCCATGTTTAAAAAAGCCAGTCCAGGCAAGACAGCCACAGGCTCCCGCCCACAAGTGATCACGAACACACTTCACACTGCCTTATGGCAGAGCAAGTGCATATAGCCCGGTCTTGTGTGACCTTCACAGCCAATATTCATTATAATCCCCTCTCACCAATATTGAAAATGGATGCTCAGGGGATCAGTGACTCGCCTGGTGTCAAAGTGCCAGGTCCAAATCAAGACCTGCAGATCAAGTCTTCTGTGGATGCTTCCAATCCCAGGCTGCTTTCATTTCTGATGGACACGTCCTTCATGTCCCACAGATCCATGGATCGCCGGCATCTTCCCTCCTGTTCACATAGGTGAGAAGGAAGGAGCTGGCAGGCAATGCCCTTCCAGGTGGGCTACAGGGAAGGTTCTTTTCTCATTAGGTTGATCCCTTGGCTTCCCTAGTAAAGTGGGGAGCTGTTGAAAAGAAAGAATGGAAACGAGGTAATGATCCTGGAGCCTAATGGAAGGGCCGCAGCCAGTTTTCCCCTGTTGAAAGGACACAGGACTTCCCGAAGAGTTTTCATGGCAAAAACGTCCAACCAGCTACTAAGGAAACAGGATGGACTCATGCGTGCAGGAGAGAAATCACTAAAGGACACAAGACTTCCCAAAGAGTTTTCATGGCAAAACGTCCATCCAGCTACTAAGGAAACAGGATGGACTCATGCGTGCAGGAGAGAAATCACTTGGCCGTCACTGGAAGAGCAGGCTGTGATGGGAACGGTAAGGACAGAGAAGGGAAGGTTCACAGGATAGAAATTCACAGGGCAAGTAGGGTTCCAAGTCAGAAGCAAAACACTTTACACAACATTACAGACAGGCTCCACTGCAACTGGGCAGGTCAGGACTGGGCTCAGTCGGCCACATTCTGCTCCCACGCGTTGCTTCCTTAGACTGTCAGGGAAGGGAGAAGGGCAGCCACCAGGAGCGGCCAGGGTCACGGACTTGCTACTTCTTTCCTAGAGTCTGTTCTGTTTTCTGTCAGCAGTAAGGAAATACATTCTAGCAAATGACATCCAGTAATGCTTTAATTAACTGCAGTATTTTGTGCTCCAACATGCAGGCAGAAATCACTTCCAGATGGAGAAAATGAAAGCTATTTACACAAAGAAGCAATCCCTTTATTTTAAGGAAATTTATATCTCCCAAAGGTGTAGAACTTCGAGGGTCCAAGAGGCTATTCTGATGAATACTAAAACAGGACTGGGAATTTTTATTTAATATATAAAATGTCATCGTACCCTTCATGTAGGCCAGCATTTCAGGTGTCCATGTTTCTAAGGCTTTTGCTTAAATTGCCCATTGGAGCTCTATTTTATTTTTAGGAATCTGACTTGGAGTAGACGAGAAGTGTGAGACACTTGCTGTCACCCTCAAGCAGGCAGGTTGTTCTGAGTGCTCTTCCTAGCGAAGGAATCCCATTTCCAGCAGGTTATTCCGAGTGCTCTTCCTAGCGAAGGAATCCCATTTCCAGCAGGTTATTCCGAGTGCTCTTCCTAGGGAAGGAATCTCATTTCCAGCAGGTTATTCCGAGTGCTCTTCCTAGGGAAGGAATCCCATTTCCAGCAGGTTATTCCGAGTGCTCTTCCTAGCGAAGGAATCCCATTTCCAGCAGGTTATTCCGAGTGCTCTTCCTAGCGAAGGAATCCCATTTCCAGCAGGTTATTCCGAGTGCTCTTCCTAGCGAAGGAATCTCATTTCCAGCAGGTTATTCCGAGTGCTCTTCCTAGCGAAGGAATCCCATTTCCAGCAGGTTATTCCGAGTGCTCTTCCTAGCGAAGGAATCTCATTTCCAGCAGGTTATTCCGAGTGCTCTTCCTAGCGAAGGAATCCCATTTCCAGCAGGTTATTCCGAGTGCTCTTCCTAGGGAAGGAATCTCATTTCCAGCAGGTTATTCCGAGTGCTCTTCCTAGCGAAGGAATCCCATTTCCAGCAGGTTATTCCGAGTGCTCTTCCTAGCGAAGGAATCCCATTTCCAGCAGGTTATTCCGAGTGCTCTTCCTAGCGAAGGAACCCCATTTCCAGCAGGTTATTCCGAGTGCTCTTCCTAGGGAAGGAACCCCATTTCCAGCAGGTTATTCCGAGTGCTCTTCCTAGGGAAGGAACCCCATTTCCAGCAGGTTATTCCGAGTGCTCTTCCTAGGTAAGGAATCCCATTTCCAGCAGGTTATTCCGAGTGCTCTTCCTAGGTAAGGAATCCCATTTCCAGCAGGTTATTCTGAGTGCTCTTCCTAGCCAAGGAATCCCATTTCCAGCAGGTTATTCTGAGTGCTCTTCCTAGCCAAGGAATCCCATTTCCAGCAGGTTATTCTGAGTGCTCTTCCTAGGGAAGGAACCCCATTTCCAGCAGGTTATTCCGAGTGCTCTTCCTAGAGAAGGAACCCCATTTCCAGCTGTGCACATGCAGCATTTCCCCTGGCATTCTTTCAACAGGGAACCAGGTCTCCTCATCCGATGGCAATTCAGGAAGGGTTGGTGTCATACCCTGCATCGAGCAGCAGCCTCGGACCTGCCCCCACGCTCTGCGTGCCCTGTACTGGTCATGCTGGTCTCAGCTTGTCTGCTCTCAGTCCTGTCTGATCTGCACAGAGGAGCCACCCTAGACATAAGAAATCAGGCACCCCTTCTCGGGGGTGGGCAGAGCCCTGGGTACTGGCTCTTTGTTCTTCGAGAGAGGAAGGAGTGGCGGTAGTTAGCTTCAATCCCTGAGCTGGGTTTGGAGATCAGAACACCTTGTCCATTGCGGCTCCTGTTTCATTGTTAAGAGTCCACACAGGATGTTCTCTGGCCTGGACACCGCTAAGCCAGCTTTCAGACAAGTCCCCTCAGTAAGAGCAGAGTGAACTCTTTATTGATTATACAAATTACCACTATTTATTTTAAACCCAAAGTGACTTCAAAGTTGTTTTTTGGTTTTTAAAGGGGCTACAGAAAATGGACTGAGGGGAAGGAATGGGCACAATATCTAGGTCTAGCTGAATCACAGAGCTGTTAGCTGCTGCTTTCATCCACAGGTACTCCTTTTACCTTATTATTTTTTAGAGAGTCTTGCTCCGTCACCCAGGCAGGAGTGCAATGGCATGATCTCGGCTCACTGCAGCCTCTGCCTCCTGGGTTCAAGCGATCCTCCTGCTTCAGCCTCCTGAGTAGCTGGGATTACAGGCGCCCACCACCACGCCTGGCTAATTTTGTATTTTTAGTAAAGACAGGGTTTCACCATGTCGGCCAGGCTGGTCTCGAACTCCTGACCTCACATGATCCACCTGCCTCGGCCTCCCAAAGTGCTGGGATTACCAGTGTGAGCCACCATGCCCGGCCTATTTTTTAATAGAGATGGGGTCTCACTCTGTTGCCCAGGCTTGTCTTGAAGTCCTGGGCTCAAGCAATCTTCCCACCTCAGCCTCTCAAAGCACTGGCATTACAGGTGTGATGCCACAGTACCCGGCCTAGGGTGCCCCTTTGATACGTTATTTTTGAAGTGATGTTAATAAATAAAGCTTCTGCTTGGGGGTTGGTCATCAAAACAAGAAGAATCCTCATCAGTATGGAGAGAGCCCAATCCTGGGCATGGTCCCCACCACCACCAAAAGTCTTTTTTTTTTAACTGAGTCTCACTCTGTCTCCCAGGCTGGAGTGCAGTGGCGGGACCTCGGCTCACTGCAACCTCCGCCTCCCGGATTCAACTGATTCCCCTGCCTCAGCCTCCCAAGTAGCTGGGATTACAGGCACCCGCCACCTGCCTGCTTTTTTTTTTTTTTTTTTTGTATTTTTAGTAGAGATGGGATTTTGCCATGTTGGCCAGGCTGGTCTCAAACTCGTGACCTCATGTGATCCGCCCACCTCGGCCTCCCAAAGTGCTGGGATTACAGGCGTGAGCCACCGCGCCTGACCCAACACAAGTTTAAAATGAAAGCTGTTATCAGTAGAGAATCTTCACCACGTTGGCACCAGCTCAAGTGTAGTGTCGGCGCACTTTTAGCTTAGAGTCAGAAAAATAGACATGTATGAAAATGCGTGGCAGGAGCCCTTCCATAAAGCAAATCTCTCTGTTGCAGTGGTTCTTAACAAGGTGTAAACGTTATAACTACCTATGGAACTTTTAAACCTGTATGCCAGGCCCCATCCAAACTTACTGACTCAAAATCTCCGGGCATCTGTTTTTTTGTTTGTTTTGAGATAGAGTCTCACTCTGTCGCCAGGCTGGAGTGCAGTGGCGTGATCTCGGCTCACTGCAATCTTTGCCTCCCGGGTTCAAGCGATTCTCCTGCCTCAGCCTCCCAAGTAGCTGGGAGGTGTGCACGCCACCACACCCCGGTAATTTTTGTATTTTTTGTAGAGATGGGGTTTCACCATATTGGCAAGGATGGTCTCAATTTCCTGCGCTTGTGATCCGCCCGCCTCAGCCTCCCCAAGTGCTGGGATTCCAGGCGTGAGCCACGGCGCCCGGCCGGCATCTGTAGATTTTAAAAGGCCCCAGTGGTTCTGATGCACACCCCCAGAAGAGAAACACAGCGTCTCTACACAGTACTGAGTCCCCATCAAGGAGACATTTAACAGAAACTCCTACTGACATCCATTGGTTCCTTGGGGATTACTGACAATGTAACAAATCAAGACAGCAACTTCCCTGGCTGTGACCACCAACTGTGGAAAACAGCAGCTTGATAGCTCAATGCTGTGATGGAGCCGTCCGGAAAACGACTCCTCAACAATGAACCAAAAAGAGAAGTGGTGATCTGTACACAAACGCCAGGAGTGACAAGAACCAGGTGCAGGAGTCCACTGGCTTTCCCAGCTCTCCTGGGTTGAGGACAGACGGCTGAACTGGCTGTGCTATTTGGAGATGGGCCCCACCGCCCCTTTTCAACTGTACGGCTCAGGCTGCTTAACCATAGCAACTCCATGGGCTGGGGTGGGGGCATCTACAGGGCTTCCTGGGGGCTCTCCCGACTGCCGCCCCCCGCCCTTGTCTTATTTGGAATCTTTTCCTAATAGACCTCAACTGAAGGCCGCATCTCCTTCTCGCAACACTTCTTTTCTCCTCCGCATTCTCAAATTTGAGACGCTTGATGCGTGAGAGTCAAACCAGCTAGCAAGGACAGCCTGGAAGCCGATGAAGAAATGACACTCAGGATCAGAGCTGGACGGCATCGGGGAGAAAGCCTGGCAGAGAGGGCAGGGGCACAGAGCAGTGGTTATGTTGGGAAACAAGGTGGGGATGAGGAAATCAGGTTTCCAGGCAGATTTCCAAACCTTATTCCTACTGTACGGCTGTTACAAGTTTTATGGATTTTAAGGAAATTTCCTCTATCCTGAAAACTTTTTGAGAAGGGGTCTTGCTCTGTCACCCAGGCTGGAGTGCAGTGGTGAAATCTTGGCTCACTGCAGCCTCCACCTCCCGGGTTTAAGTGATTCTCCTGCCTCAGCCTCCCCAGTAGCTGGGATTACAGGCACTCGCCATGACACCCGGCTAATTTTTTTTATTTTTAGTTGAGACAGGGTTTCGCCATGTTGGGCAGGCTGGTCTCGAATTCCTGACCTCAGGTGATCCACCTGCCTCAGCCTCCCAAAGTGCTGTGATTACAGGCATGAGCCACCACACCCAGCCAATTTTTTGTATTTTTGGTTTTGCCAGGTTGCCCAGACTGGTCTCAAACTCCTGAGCTCAAGCAATCTGCCCACCTCAGCCTCCCTAGCAGTTGGGACTACAGGTGCATGCCACCACACCTTGCAAATTTTTATTTTTGTAGACATCTGTATGTTGCCCAGGCTGGTCTCAAACTCCTGGACTCAAGTGATCCTCCTGCCTTGGTCTCCCAAAGTGTTGCGACTACAGGCATGAGCCGCCGTGCCTGGCAAGATATCATTCTTCAGCAAAAGCAGGCAGCAACAGCAGCGGTTTGCCTGTAGCTGTGGTCATGGTTAACTGAGGCCTGGTTTCAAGGGAACCGAGTGAATCAGGGTTAACGGCTTGATATGCTGCCATTCTCTGGATGCAGGATGACATGAGAGGTCGGGAGCAGTCTCTTCGGCAAGCCCTGCTGCAGAGAGCCCGCGGTGGACAGGAAGGGCGGGGGGGGCGGGCAGGCTGCGTGCCAGGCCAGGCTCTCAGCCTGGTCTTTAAGGTCCATATTCTGTTCCTGAGGCATCCAGAACCCCAGACTCCTTCTCATAACACAGGAACACATCACTGGGATGCTGCACATCACCTTTGCTATTTCAGATGACGCTGGAAAGTGCTGTGGACCTGAAGGTGAGTGGGCAGAAAGGGGTTTGAGAGTATGGACTTCCTGGGCGTTCCCATGGCTTCATCTGATGAGAAAACCTAGGAAACGTCTTCCAAGTGAACTTCCTGGTTTCCCTTCCCTAGAAACCAGGAGCAGGGTGGGAGTAAAGAAATGGAGGAAGGGGCTGGGCTCGGTGGCTCACGCCTGTAATCCGATACTCAGGAGGCTGAGGCAGGAGAATTGCTTGAACCTGGGAGGCGGAGGTTGCAGTGAGCCGAGATCACGCCACTGCACTCCAGCCTGGGTGACAGAGCGAGACTCTGTCTCAAAAAAAAAAAAAAAAAAAAAAAAAAAGGACGGGTGGGGCCCACGTGTCAAGAGGGTGTGACTGCCATGGGGAGGCTACATGAGTCAAGGGCAGCTCAGGGACCTATCCTCCACTGCTGCCTCTGCTTCACGAACCAGAGATCACCTAAATCGCCCTCTTAGAGCCCAGCCCTTACTCAGCGTCTCCGATTAGGGCAGGAAGTAAGACAGGGCATGGGAGAGACTCAGTAACAACCCACATGTCCCAGGAAGTTTGAAGACCGACGATGTGAGAGTGCCGGGGAGCACAGGAGAGGTTGGGGGCTTCTGGGGAACGGGCGCTGAGGGTCTCCAGCCAGGAGCAAAGGGCCCCTTGCTGCTGCTACAGTCTCTTTTTAATGAGTTTCTCGAGCTTGCGGATGCGTGACGACTCTTGCTCTGGTGTTGGCGCCGTCAGGGACAGTGAGCCGGAGCTTTCTGCCCCCGAGGGCGGTGCGGGGAGCCGCTGGCGCAGGAGTTCCAGCATGCTGCTCTGCTCACTCCTCTTCAGCCCCTGAGGTTGAGAGAGAAACAGAACCGTCACGAAGTCTGGGCCAGAATGGCCCACGGGGGACAGCGCAGTATCTGGATATGGGGTCAGCAGAGGCTCTGGAGACAGCATAGTTACTCCAGGCTGAGGATGAACCGTTTCCTCAAGGGACTCACCATCCCCTGGGTAGTAGCGTGGGAGGAAAAGAGAGGGGAAGAAAAGGTAAAGGAAGGGAAAGAAGCGGCTGACAGAGGAGAAAGGACAGGTCAAGAAGGTGGGAAGGACAACATGCCTGTCCTCATCCCCCTGCCCCTGCCCCATCCTCCCTGTGCAGGTGGTCTCAGCGGGGCATGCAGGGCCTGTCAGAATCCTGAAGTGCACGTGCCCGGGGCCATCCTCCTCCAGAGGCTTCTCTGAATCCGGTTTGCTCTGTGGAGCCAGGCACATGCATTTTGAGAAAGCCCCCCCGGAACTTATATCCCAATTCCCGGTTAAGAACCGCTGAGTGTGAGGGGGATGAGCAGGTGTGGACCAAATGTCCCGGCACAAACCTTCATGTCCAGTATCTTCTGAAAGGTTTCTGTGTTGCAGTCTGTGAGAAGTTTGATGTAGTTGTCAACAAACACCACCAACGGTTCATGAGGGGCCATCACTACCTACAGCGGGAGGAGACAGGAGCAAGCCCCTCAGGAAAACTACCACCACGGGAGGAGACAGGAGCGGGCCCTCAAGAAAACTCACTACCCACCGCAGGAGGAGACGGGAGCGGGCCCTTCAGGAAAACTCACTCCTCACTTGCCCGCCGAGCGCTAAATGGATTCTGAGAGGTTTCCTTAAGCAGCAGCAACCCAGACTAGAAACGCCCCAGTGGCCCATCTCATCTTCACATGCCACTACAGCAATGTCCTAAATTTGCTGAATCCTAAATACACCTGCGCTGCTGTTTGAAGTATGGGTTTCCGGGGCCCTCCTCTAAAGACTCTAATTCAGTAGGCCTGGCTGGAGTCCCAGGTGACTTTTAAACTATCAGGACCATCCGGGAAACCCTGCGTGAGAGGGTCTCCTGTTCCAGGCATTTCACCAGTACACGGTACTTGCTCCTTCTGCCTTGACGTACTATGATTCCTGAGAAATGGGTGGCAAAAGGAGCTGGTATAAGTAAGTGGATTTCTGCAAAAACAAAAATGCCAAAGCTGCCTCACCTTTTGGAGACTTAAAATCTGTAACTTCATGTAACGACTAACTTAAACTATCAATTAACATACAAACAAAGGAAAGGAACGGCACTGCAACCCTTATTCATTTCCGTTTTGTTCTGGAATGCAGTATCTGATTTTCTTTCCCCAGCCGACTGATTTGTTTTGAATTCCTGAGACTGAAGGGAAGAGTGGCGAGGAGGAGTTCACTCAGGCATCCTCTGCCGATAATTCCCAGACCACAGGCTCTCCTCCCCAGCAGTAAGCAGCAGGGAAAGAACATGATGAGGCAGCTTCACCCTCACCTACATGAGCTCTTCACCCTCACCTACATGAGCTGCTTCACCCTCACCTACATGAGCTGCTTCACCCTCACCTACATGAGCTCTTCACCCTCACCTACATGAGCTCTTCACCCTTACCTACATGAGCTGCTTCATCCTCACCCACATCCCACCGGTGTCTGAGGCCCTGCTGCCACTTCCTACTCCTGCCGTCCCTGAGTCATCTGGTTTAGGAAGTGGCCTGAAGAGCCTACAGGTCCTGGGCTTTTAAGACCACATCACCACAGGACCATCTGTTCTCCAGCCCTCATCCCTACTCTTCAAAATAGCTGGAAACCAGAGGCAGATGCGCAGGGCTTCAGACGTTCCTCACTCGAAGTACAGTCTTGTTAAATGGGGCTTTAAAATATCCATTTGCTGATTAGATTCAGTTACTACAACATCTGTTCAGAGTTCATTTAAAGTGGCAGAGTACAGAAAGCCAAAAAGGCTGATGTGGAAGGGAGTAACTGAGAGCTGTGCCTGAAATTCCTGCTGAGAAGCGGAGATCCCTGACATACACTGATTCACAGTGGCAACCACCTAACCTCCAAGCTTGACCACATTTGATCACAAGAGAATCCCACGCCAACAAGAAATTCATTTGTCAGAAGGAATTACTGAGCCCTAATAACTATCCACAGACTTTCAACAATATCTGATGAGGCCAAAATCCAGTCCAGCCCAAGAATGTGGACCATGCTTTGAGGCCGGTGAGGATAGGACCTACCCTGTGCTTTCAAAACCAAGGCTTCTCAGAAAAAGAGATTAAATAAATAACTGGCCCCTTTTAACACAAGCCATCACCTTGAGGATCATCTCAGCCCGGGTCATGCCTTTGACAACGATCTTGGTGTAGCTGGCGGGTGCCTTCCTCACCACCTGCGAGCTGATGGAGGGGAGATCGAGCAGGACCATCTTCAGCGAGTGGGTGTCCAGCAGCAGCTGTGGAGCAAAGCAGAGAGCATTACCGGCCCCTTCCAGCGACCCAGTGCCGAGTGGACTCATGCCGATGAGTCATGTTTTTCTCGTTATACACGTAACACATTCTTGTTGCAAAAAATTGGGGAAATAAACAGAAATATAAAAGAAAAAAATTATGTATAATTCCCATCACCTAGGAGAAACAACATCAAGGAGCCAGCCTATGTGTACGTATATAAAAAACTAAATCAGGGGGCCAGGAGCCGTGGCTCACACCTGTAATCCCAGCACTTCAGGAGGGCCAGGCAGCAGGATCGCTTGAGCTCAGGAATTTGAGACCAGCCTGGGCAACATGGCAAAACCCCGCCTCTACAAAAAATGCAAAAATTAGCCAGGCGTGGGGGTGCGCATCTGTGGTCCCAGCTACTGAGGAAGACTGAGGTGGGTGGATCGCTTAAGCCTGGGAGGTTGAGGCTGCAGTGACTCAAGATTGTGCCACTGTAACTCTCCAGCCTGGGTGACAGAGGGAGACCCTGCCTCAGTAACAAACCACAACTCCTCCATAAAACTAAATCAGAATCATACTGTATGTATATTCAATTTTATAACCTGGTTTTCTCACTTAATATACACAATTTTTATATTCTATTTTCCCATCTTTGCAGTCTTTAAAAAACAAATCAAGGTTTTTAAGTGCACTCTAGCCTGGGCCTCATGGCGAGACCCCATCTCTAAAGAAGAATCGTGATTTAATGGCTGTGCAGTACTCTGTGATGTGTGTGGTTGTGTAAACTTTAAGATCTTTCCAATGGAATGGACCCATTTACACCTCTGCCAGCCATGCAGACTGCACCCTTATCAGCACTGAAAACTCATCAAATCCTGATTATTCATTAGGCAAAAAATAGTAACTCATTATTGTTTTACTTTGAATTTCTCTGGATGTTACTGAGGATGTAGGAGATTTACCCAAATGTAAACATTGTATCCTGGCAACAATCTACCTTTTCCTCTTTGTTTGTTCTGGTTCTCTGGGATGCCAATTATCTAGAAGGACACCCATAGTCCTAAAGGCTCACTGACTGCCGGGAATGACATGAGGAACGTTTTGTCACATTTAATCTGAGTAAAGCCTTACCTACCCTGGATGTTATTTATTGTTCCCATTTTACAGATGAGAAAAAGTTCCAGAGGATTAACAGCTCACCAAACTCATCTCATGCAACGGACGGGGTTAGACAAAAGTTGGACGGGAAGCTGGAATTCATTTCCGGTTGCCAGGTAACGGGGTTAGAGAAAAGGTGGACTGGAAGCTGGAATTCCATTTCCGGTTGCCCAGGTAACGGGGTTAGACAAAAGGTGGAAGGGAAGCTGGAATTCCATTTCCGGTTGCCCAGGTAAATGTCCCTGGGTGGTTTTGGTGACGAGCTCACACTGACTCCTGCTGACTGCCCTGCTCTGCTGCCGCCGCTGCTCTTGGCAACCAGGGAGCAGAGAAATGGCTGAAGACAGAAGGGTGTACTCTGGCCTGTTGAGATGGCTTAGGAGAATGGAACCACATGGTCACCAAGCAGACAACGGCAGCAGTGGGGTGACAGCTCCCAATGCCACCACTCAACTCCGGTGATAACGGCCAAACTTATATTCAGGGCAAGGCCTGTACTCTCTGCCACTGCCTGCTTCTTTGGGAAAGCCTTCTGTAATCCTATCAGGTAGGTGAGAAATGGGACCCTTCAGGCCCTGCGACACTTTGCATCCTCCAATTTCCTATTTACTTTGCTTTGGACAGAAGAATTAATGATTAAAGAGAAACTAAGTAACGACAGATACTATGAACTTAAGGGTTATGGCAATTGTAATTTTAACAATGGTAGAAACATGGGGAAGACGTCAGTGTTTTATGTGGAATAATTTAGGTGTGGTAAGGAATTACACTAAGGTCAGAGCAATTTCATGCAGCTAGTCAAAGGCCTGCACCACGCAGGTCATTCAACTGTAGCCAGCAAAGTGCAGGGCATTTTGGACCTTTCTGGATTTCTAGAGATAGAAATTCTTACTATCCTAGTGTCTGCTTTGTTGAAAAGGCCAAGGGCTCAGAGAAAAGGGTATGCAAACCTCCAGGAGGGGGAATGGCACTGATTGCTCAAGGCCCACGTGAAGAGCCTGGCGTTAGCGCACTTTCCAGAATTCCAGTGGAAATGACTGCTGCTTTTCCTCGGAGGAACCCAGAACAAGCCTCTAAAGCATTCTAGGTGGATTAAATTCTTAGATATAAAAAAGAAAAACTTTAAGAAGAAAATACAGGGCGCAGTGGCTCATGCCTGTAATCCCAGCATTTTGGGAGGCCGAGGCGGGTGGATCATCTGAGGTCAGGAGTTCGAGACCAGCCTGGCCAACATGGAGAAACCCCATCTCTACTAAAAATACAAAAATTAGCCGGGTGTGGTGGCGCATGCCTGTAATCCCAGCTACTCGGGAGGCTGAGGCAGGAGAATTGCTTGAACCTGGGAGGTTTGCGCTACAGCCTGGGTGACAGAACAAGACACTGTCTCAAAAAAATAAATACATAAAAAATAAAAAATAAAAAAGAAGAAGAAGAAGAAAATACAGAGATTATTTTCATTGCTTATGGGTGGAGAAGAATGTCAAACATCAGAAAGAATGAACCACCTACCCTAAAATGAAAGGCATCTATATCAGAAGAAACAAACAAAGTAAAAGACAAGACATAAATCAGGAGAAGATACGTGCAACGTTGACAAGGGAACGGGGTTCCGAACATGAAGATTCCTACACATCAACAGGAAAAGCACAAACTATCCCAACAGCGACACAACAACAGGCAAACAATACTAACACCGGATTCACAAAAGAGGAAACTCAAATGCCCGAAAGGCATATGAAATGACACGCAACCTGGTTAGTAACTGGGAAATGCAAATTAAAACCACAGATGTACACCATAATACATCCATCAGAGTCAGAAGTAAACAGATTATTTGATAATCAAGTGTGGGCACGGCCATGGCACTGAAATTCACAAATGTACACCGTAATACACCCATCAGAGTCAGAAGTAAACAGGTTGATAATCTAGTGTGGGCACGGCCACACTGAAATTCAGACTAGTGGTGACAGTAGAAGTTAGTTCAAGCACGTTGGGGGAAATTTAGCAACATTTCCTTAGCTGGAGATGTGTATCACCCATAACACAGCATTAATACTTATATCCATTAGAGGAATTCTTGCCCATGTAAAAACGTTCCCTGCATCCGCTATTTATAAAAGCAAAAGTTTGGAAACAACCTACACGTCCATTGACAGTGGAATGAATAAACAAATGACAGCACATTCGTGCAATGGAATATGCTGCTGAGGTGAAAATGAATGGGTGCACACAGCATGCATTAACATGCATAAATCTCAGAAAATAGTAAGTTGGGCAAAAAAAAGCAAGTGGGGAAATGATATGTCTAATGCCATTTATATAGTTTTAAAATATGCAAAACAAAATCATATATCATTTGTGAATATATACACATATATCAAAACACATATGAGAATAAAATCAAAATCAGGACAGTGTTTACTTTGGGGCATGGAGGAAGAGATGGGCAGGGTGGGGTTCATGGGGGCGGTCTTCAGCAATAACTGTAATGATTTACTTTACATAAAAATGATCTAAAGCAGGCAGGGTGTGGCAGCTCATGCCTGTAATCCCAGCATTTTGGGAGGCTGAGGCAGAAGGATCACTTGAGGCTACGAATTCAAGATTACCCTGGGCAACACAGTGAGACCTTGTCTCTACAAAAACAAAAATAATAAGATTAGACAGGCACAGTGGCACACACTTGTAGTCTCAGCTACTTAGGAGGCTGAGGTGGGAAGATGGCTTAAGCCCAGGAATTCCAGGTTGCAGTGAGCTATGATGGCACCATTGCACCCCAGCCTGGGAGACAGAGTGGGACCCTGTCTCTTAAGAAAAGAAAAAAAAAATGGGCCAGGCGCGGTGTCTCATGCCTGCAATCCCAGAACTTTGGGAGGCTGAGGTGGGAGGATCACTTAAGGTCAGGAATTTGAGACCAGCCTGGCCAACATGGTGAGACCCCATCTCTACTAAAATACAAAAATTAGCCAGATATGGTGGTGCACACCTGTAATCCCAGCTACTCGGGAGGCTGAGGCAGGAGAATTGCTTGAACTCGGGAGGTGAAGGTTGCAGTGAGCCGAGATCGCGCCATTGTACTCCAGACTGGGCAACACGGTGAGACATTTTCTCAAAAAAAAAAAAAAAAAAAAAAAAGATGTAAAGTAAATGTGGAAACATGTTACATATTTTGCTGAGCTGAGTAGTTAGTTACTGTTTTTTACATTATTTTCTGTACATTAATTAACTGGAATTTTTGTTTAAAGACTACCATTCAGGACTCAACTCTGTCTTCCATGTAGCAAATTTTGAGAGCCTTGTCAAAATCAAAGCCATGTCTTAGCATTCATTTGTTGGTAGGAAAAAAAAAATCAGTCATTATATTTTAAAGCATATGGAGATATTTCCTACTTTTCTACTTCCCAGAGATACATTATATGCATAAATAATTGTACAGTCTTAAATGACAGGAAGGGTTTGAATGCACCAGGCATAATTCTCTAGTGTCCCTCATATACAGGGAGATATGACACTTTCATTCCCTGGCCAGTCACCATAAAATTCTGTCTTTACCAGACACTGAGAGGTGAAAACCCTGGTCTCAGGTTTTATACATAAAGCAAGGCAGTCAGAAAAGGCGGGAATGAGCCTGACAGATTTGGCGGCTGTCTGTGCAAAGACAAGACAGAAAGGTCCCATTTATCATGAAAATCTGCTAGTTTTCAACTTTGAAATAGTTGATAATTCATCTTCTTAGGCATGAGACATTGGGCAAGGGGTGGCTATTGCCACATTCATTTCTGCCTCAGCGATAATTTCTGGGGCAGTGTGGGCTGGCTAATGTTGTTGATGGGATGTGGGGGTGCAAGGGTGGCCAGTATGCCATGCCTGTGAAGGCTGATCACCCAGCAATGGAAATCTTTGAGAGGGGCCCTTTACTTCCCGAGGAGCCTCCTACAATTCTTGGGGACATGATGACTATCAACAGTGATGAAAATTTTGCGTAAATAAGATACAGGCCCACACTCCTAGAAGACAAAGAACCATGTGAACAAAACCACATAGGTGAACCATATTGGTCCCACCATAGAAAATTCTTCAATGAGGTGGCACAGGGGAGACAGCTCAGGCTATCAGGAGGGATGGAACAAGGTGGACACATGTTCTATTTCTTTTTCTTTTTAAAAAAATTAGGTATAACTTTCACAGAGTACACAAACACCACGTATGCCATTTGATCAACATCCAGACATGTGCACATCCTGCTGCCTAACGGAAGACAGAGCACACTTCTGGCATCCCTGAAGCCTTCCTCATGCTCTCGTCCAGTCAATGCTCTCCTTTCCCTCTCAACAAACTCTCCTGCTGTCTCTCACTGTAGCTAGTTGCCTGCTCATAAACCTGCTCTGAACATTCGTCTCTCCTACTCTCTCTCACTGTAGCTAGTTGCCTGCTTCATAAACTTGCTGTGAACATTCGTCTCTCCTGCTCTCTCTCACTGTAGCTTGTTTCCTGCTCATAAACCTGCTGTGAACATTCGTGCGCATGCCTTTGGTGGTCATAAAGTCCTCATTTCTCTAGGGTGGAAGCTACTCAAGAGTAGAACTGCTGGATCATGGGGTAGGCATATGTTTGGCTAACTGCCTAGGAGTTTTCCAATGTGGCTGGGCTAACTTCCATTTCTACCAGCACATATGAAAGTTCCAGATGCTCCACATCCTTACCAACACTTGGTATCATCACTCTTTTAAATTATTATTATGATTAGAGACAGGGTCTTACTCTGTCACCTGGGCTGGAATGCAGTGGTGCAATCATAGCTCACTGCAACCTTGAACTCCTTGGCTCAACTGATCCTCCTGTCTCAGCTTCCCGAGTGGCTAGGACTACAGGCACGTGCCACACTTGGCTAATTTTTAAATTGTTTTGTAGAGATGGGGTCTCGCTGTGTTGCCCAGGCTGATCTCAAACTGCTGAGCTCAAGCAGTCTTCCTGCCACAGCCTCCCAGAGTGCTAGGATTACAGGCACAAGCCATCGCACTTGGCCAAAGTCTTTTAAGTACTCAAAATAACCAATCTTTTCTTTTATGGTTAGTGCTTTTAATGTTTTGTTTAAGGGATCTTTGCCTAACCCAAGGTCATAAACATATTGTCTTATATTAAATCTTCCAGAAGCTTTATTGCCTTATTTTTTAGAGCCATAATCCATCTGGGATTAATTTTCTAAAAATGGAGATATAATTCAAAAACCATAAAATTTACCTTTTGGAAGTGTACAATTCAGTGGTTTTTAAGGTCTATTCACAAGGTTGTACAGCTGTCAGCATTATCTGGTTTCAGAACACATTATCACCCCAGAAAGAAACCCTTACCCATTAGCAGCCATTCCCATCTCCCCCTCCCTCAGCCTTTGCCAACCATTAATCCACTTTCTGTTTTACGGATTTGCCTGTTCTGGACATTTCACAGAAGCAGAGTCACACAATAGGTGGCTTTTTGTGTCTGGCTTCTTTCACTTAACATGGTTTCAAGGCTCTTCCATGTTGTAGCATGAATGGGTACTTTATTCCTTTTAATGGCTGAGTAATATTCCCTTGTATGGATAGACCACATTTTGTTTATCATCAGCTGATGGACATTTGAGTTGTTTCTACTTTCTGGCTATTATAAATGGTGCTGCTATGAATATTTGTGTACAAGCTTTTGTGTGAACACATTTTTTTTTCAATTCTTTTTTTTTTTTTTTTTTTTGAGACAGAGTCTCACCCTGTCACCCAGCCTGAAGGTACAGTGGCGCAATCTTGGCTCACTGCAATCTCTGCCTCCCAGGTTCAAGTGATTCTCCTGCCTCAGCTTCCCGAGTAGCTGGAGTTACAGGTGCACACCACCATGTACAGCTAATTTTTGTATTTTTAGTAGAAGTGGGTTTTCACCATGTTGGCCAGGCTGGTCTCGAACTCCTGACCTCAGGTGATCTGCCTGCCTCAGCCTCCCAAAGTGCTGGGATTACAGGTGTGAACCATGCACCCTGCCTTTTTCAATTCATTTGGGTATATATCTAGGAGTATAATTGCTGGGCCCTGTGGTAACTCTATGTAAATGCCAAACTGTTTTCCAAAATGGCTGTACCGTTTTGCATTACCACCAGCAATGTATGAGTGTTCTAATTTCACCAAATCCTCTTTGGAATTGATTTTTATATATGGTGTGTGGCAAAGGTCAAGATTTTTTTCCGATATGGATATCCAATTACCCAGCACTATTTACTGAAAAGACTCTCTTTGAATGATGCCACTTTGGTCATAAATCAAGTATCTACACATGTGTGGGTCTATCCCTCAGCTCAGATCTGTTCTGTTGGCCTCTTTGTCCCTGGGGCCAGTGCCACACTGCTCTAATTACAATACTGCTGCAATAAGTCTTGATATCCTGAGCTTTAACTCCTCCAATTCTGTTCTAAGATTATTTTGGCTGTTGTCTTCTGTATTTTCATCTAACTTTTAAAATCAGCATATCAATTCACACACACACACTCACACACACACACACACACACACACCCCTGCTGGGATTCTACTGTATCTATAGATAAATTGATACAGTAATTAGGATTGAATTCTATCTATAGATTAATTTTGGAATAATTTGCCGCTTTTTAAATTGTTATTTATTTTTTATTGGGCAGCCTCCTCAGCCAGAGCAGGCTCAGAAAGACTCCATATGTATTTCTTTTTGAGTCTTTCTTATCAATGAACATGAGCTATCCTGTCATTTTAAAGGTCTTTATGGATTCTGTGTCTTAATATTGTACAGTTTTCTGTGTAGAAGACTTGTACATTTTTAATTTACTCCTAGGTATTTAATGTTTCCTGATGTTATTGTAAATGATTTCATTTAGGCCTGGGAGCCATGGCTCACGCCTGTAATCGCACCACTTTGGGAGGCTGAGGAGGGTGGAGTTTGAGACCAGCCTGGGAGACACAGGGAGGCAGACCCTATATCTACCAAAAAAAAAAAAAAAGAGCCAGCCAGGCATGGTAGTACATTCCTGTAGTCCCAGATACTTGAGAAGTTGAGGCAGGAGGATGGCTTGAGCCCACGAATTGAGACTGCAGTGAGCTATGATTGTGCCACTGTACTCACTCCAGCCTGGGCAATACAGCAAAAAAAAAAAGTATTTCACTCAAAAATGTTCATTTTTAAATTGTTTGCTGCTGGTATATAGAAATATATTTTAAAACACTTTCCTTATAGCCAGCAACCTTGCTAAATTTATATTCTTTTTTTTTTTTTTTTTTTGAGACGGAGTCTCTATCACTCAGGCTGGAGTGCAGTGGCGCAATCTCAGCTCACTGCAACCTCCCAGGTTCAAGCAGTTCTCCCAGGTTCAAGCAATTCTCCTGCCTCAGCCTCTCGAGCAGCTGGGATTACAGGCGCACCACACCTTGCCCAGCTAATTTTTGTATTTTTAGTAGAGACGGGGGTTTCACTGTGTTGGTCAGGCTGGTCTTTAACTCTTGACCTTGTGATCCGCCCGCCTCGGCCTCCCAAAGTGTTGGGATTAAGGGTGTAAGCCACTGCACCCGGCCTGCTAAATTTATATTCTAACAGTTTATCTGTAGATCCTTTTAGATTTATTACTCATAATCATATTTTCCATGAAAAATGACAGCTTAGTTTCCTCCTTTCTAATCTGTATATATTTTGTTTCTTTTAAAAATATTGTATTTTTTGCCTTGTTGTCCTAGCCAGGACTTCAACAACAACGTGGGATAGAAATGGTGACAGCGGACATTCTCCTCTTATCCTTAATCTCAAGGGAAAGAAAAGCTTTCATAGGTGAACGCAGTCATAAGAATAATTAGTGACCCTGCAAAACAGGATGATCTGAAGATCATAAACTAGCAAGAAGCATGATCAATATTGGTGTGGGTCAGTTCCACGTGCCCTTGCAATTGCTCGAGGACTCTGGGGCCCAAAGATAAAGAACTCACTTTATATAGTACTCAGAGAACAAAGAGCAGAAAAATGTCTCCCATCCCATTTTCAGCATAAGTATTAAAGCAAAACCTAATTTAGGATCTGGCACCCTTGTGGCAAGGCAGACACAGCTGAGGTTGGGCTAAATCTTAGCTTCCAATGCCATAGCTTTTGTTCAAGTTTGGATGGCAGCTGCTCCACTACTGGAGGCAGCGTCTGTTTCAGTCTATGAACACTGCTGAGTTAACTTGATTCTGATGGTTCTGCTGCCTGAGTGAACACGCCTGCAGCTACATGGCTGCTTGAGTTTCAAGGCCCAGACATCAGGGCAAGTACAGGCCCAGCCAAACCTCAACTCATGTGAGAATCGTTCAGGGGCCACGTTGCCCTGTAGTTCCCACCCACACCCTCCCCATTCTGGGCCTGTCAAGATCCACACTCCCCTACTGCCCACCTGAACTGGCCTGGGGTCTGATTAAGTAAAACTCCAGTTCCAGCAGATGGTTTTCTCATCCACACCTCAAAACGGAAGTAAACATAGGATGTTGGCTGTGGGTTTGTTAAAAAATAATAACAATAATGGATGTAAGCACTGGATGAACTGATATTTTTCTGAAGATATTGGCTTTGGGTCTGAGCTTACTATAATCATTAAAAGACTCTTTTTTTTTTTGTGGGGCAGATGGTGTCTTACTCTGTTGCCCAGGCTTCAGTGCAGCGGCACGATCATAGCTCACTTCAGCCTGGATTCAAAGAATCCTCCGACTTCAGCCTCCTCCTGAGCAGCTGGGACTACAGGTGTGGACCGTTTTTTAGCTAATGTTTTATTTTTTTTGAGAGATAGGGTTGCACTATGTTGCCCAGGCTGGTCTTGAACTCCTGGCCTCTAGTGATCCTCCCATCTCAGCCTCCCATCACTGGGATTTATTCTTTTTTTTTTTTTTTTTTTTTGAGATGGAGTCTCACTCTGTTGCCCAGGCTGGAGAGCAGTGGCGTGATCTGAGCTCACTGCAACCTCCACCTCCACCTGCAAGTGATTCTCCTGTCTCAGCCTCCCAAGTAGCTGGGATTACAGGCATGCACCACCACGCCTGGCTAATTGTTTTTTTTTTTTTTTTTTTTTTGAGATGGAGTTTCGCTCTTGTTGCCCAGGCTGGAGTACAGTGGTGTGATCTCAGCTCACTGCAACCTCCACCTCCTGGGTTGAAGCAATTCTGCCTCAGCCTCCCGAGTAGCTGGGATTACAGGCGCCCACCATCACGCCCGGCTAATTTTTTGTATTATTAGTAGAGACAGGGTTCACCATGTTAGCCAGGCTGGTCTCGAACTCCTGACCTCAGATGATCCGCCTGCCTGGGCCTCCCAAAGTGCTAGGATTACAGACGTGAGCCACCATGCCCGGCCAATATTCCAAGTTTTTTGCTAGTTTTTTTGTTTGTTTGTTTTTTTGAGATGGAGTCTCACTTTGTCACCCAGGCTGGAGTGCAGTGGTGTGATATCGGCTCACTGCAACCTCCACCTCCCGGGTTCAAGTGATTCTCCTGCCTCAGCCTCCCCAGTAGCCTGCCCCCATGCCCAGCTAATTTTTGTATTTTTAGTAGAGATGGGATTTCACCATGTTGGCCAGGCTGCTCTCAAATTCCTTACCCCAGGTGATCTGCCTGCCCAGGCCTCCCGAAATGCTGGGGTTACAGCGTGAGCCGCTGTGCCCGGCCCAGCCACTTCTTCTTATTGGAGTGTGAGCACTAGGAGCAGGGACCTTTCCATGGTGCTTGCTGTGTTATACCCTGCACCCAGAACTTAGTAGGCGTTCAAACAAAATTTTTAAAAATAAATGGAAGAACGAATTAAGAAACCTTCCGGGTGAGTCATTATACTGTCCCCAAACAGGGGACATCATCAATTTTATTCCTGCCAAGTAGATCTGGACTAGAAGAATATGTGCTTGATCTACAACAAAAGCTGCCAGGCAAATGCCTGATACTACGTCCATCTCACCTGTTCTGCTCCCACCATGCTAATTGGCTTGCACTTGAAGAGGTGGGTGATGAATTTGGGAATGAAGGAGCTGTGGATAAAAAAGAAGTGACAAATTAGGCTTATTCTCTCTTGAGGAAAGAAATGCAAAAACTTTAAGGTTCCACGTATCTCCATGAAAAAACCTTTTTTAATGAAGAATCGAAGTGGACTCCACTGTTGCCCATTATCTTATTTTTCTTCTGAGTGAAGTCCTGGTTTTGTTTAGTTACATGAGGCCCTGGCAGGCCCGGGAAAACCGGATCCCATCCTAGACTCCCAGTGAACTCTAACTATTCTCAGCTCGTCAGAGCACAGCATTCCTTTGGTGACTGTTGTTTGTCCTGAGAGGGAATATGATCGAAGCTAGCCCAATCAGACTGGATGTAAGGGCTACAGGCACCGCACCTGGCTACTTTTTAATTTTTTTGTAGAGGCAGGATTTCGTTATGCTGCCCAGGCTGGGCTCAAACTCCTGGCTTCAAGCAGTCCTCCTCCCTTGGGCTCCGGAAGTGCTGGGATTACAAGCGTGAGCCACTGGGCCAGGCTTCCTTGATTCTTCATTCTCTGTCTCCAGCCTCATCCTGCTAAGCCCTGGCCTCCCTATGCTTCAACCCAACTGAGCCACTTGCAGATCCCAGGATTCTGGGGGCTATTTAATGCCTACACTGCTCCCTCGCCTGGACTGCCTTTCCTAGAAGGGGCTTGTGGGTCAGTACACACGCACCTCTCAGATCCTGTTCAACGGCGTCTCTAGAAAGCCTTTCTTCTGCTGCCTTCGCCATACTCTACATGGAGTCTGCAGGCCTCCACCCTCACATCTAACCTAGTTCATTATGCTCATTTGCTTACATGTCTATTTTGCTTCACCTGACTATTAAGGCAAACGAAGATGGGGGCCATGTTTATCAGGCCAAAACATTTAACTCTGGGTCTGAGACATAGGAGATGCTCAAGTGAATGCACATTGAGTAAATCATAAACTTTTTTTTTTTTTTGAGACAGAGTCTCGCTCTGTCACCCAGGCTGGAGTACAGTGGCACCATCTTGGCTCACTGCAACCTCTGCCTCCTGGGTTCAAGCAATTCTGGTGCCTCAGCCTCCTGAGTAGCTGGGACTACAGGCACGCACCAGCATACCCAGCTAATTTTTGTATTTTTAGTAGAGATAGGGTTTCACCATGTTGGCCAGGCTGGTCTCGAACTCCTGGCCTCAAGTGATCCTCTTGCCTCGGCCCCACAAAGCGCTGGGATGACAGGCGTGAGCCACCGCGCCCAGCCACCTACCACTTTTTGAATGTCAGCTTGGTATCAGCACTTTACCAGGAAGTTAATATGTGACTTCTCATTTTATCTTCCCAACCACTATTATGAGATTTGTCTCATTATCTCCTTGATTGAAGGGAGGAGGATCAGCTCAGTGGATGAGGGAAGTTGCTTGTGGTTCAACTGCAGTTTCAACCAGGCTGTGGATTTTGATGTCTCAACAGGAAAGGCTGCTATTGCTTAAGACAGCAAACGAGGTAAAAGGAAACATCTATGGTTTTGCAGGGGTGGGGTAGAAAGGAAGCTGAGGGAGAGGAAACTGGAGTCCGGAGATCGGATCTGGAGGTGGCTTGTGATCAGGAAGGAGAGTAAACAAGGGGCTATTTGGAAGGAATTCCTCAGTGCTGGAAACCAGAGCCAGACAAGCAACATGAAACTGAACTCATGACCAATGGCAGCTGTGCACACAGCGCTTTGTAACCTAAGTTGCTTCACATTAGAACATGCTCCGGACTGGGCATGGCAGCTCATGCCTATAATCCCAGCACTCTGAGAGGCCCAGGCAGGTGGACTGCTTGAGCCCAGGAGTTTGAGACCAGCCTGGGCAACATGGCAAAATCTCATCTCTACAAAAAATAGAAAAATGAGCTAGGCCGGGTGGCGAGCGCCTGTAATCCCAGCTATTCAGGAGGCTGAGGTGGGAGAATCACCTAAGCCCAGGAGATGGGGGCTGCAGTGAGCTGTGGTTGCACCACTGCACTCCAGCCTGGGTAACAGAGTGGGACCCTGTATCAAAAAAAAAAAAAAAAACCTTTGGCTGTGCCCCTGAACTGGCTCTCTATACTAGTCTACAGGTGGCGATGGGGGGAGTATGAGGACCTGACACACGTCCTGTGGGGAAAAAACCAAGCAATGTGCTGGGTAACTGCCAAGGGCTTCTCTGGGCCATCAGGGCGGTGGTGGCTGCTGCCCTTGACCAGGGAAGGGTCTCCTCACAAGCCCACCTCTGTTAAGCGGGATTTTAGCAGGATGAGAAGGCACCATGGATGAAAACAGAAAACCACTTCCTAGATCCCAGGCTGAATGATTACAGATGTGAGGGGGGGCATCCAATTCCCAGCGCACTCAACCTGGGCTTAGCAATGAAACTCAAGGGCTCTGAGAGAATGTGAGGCTGATGCTGGGAGATGCTGGGACTGGCTAAGTCAACCGACTCCTCCTTCACTTTAACGTAAGCTCAATCATATGACTGAGCTGGGAGACGCCGGGACTGGCTAAGTCAACGGACTCCTCCTTCGCTTTAATGTAAGCTCAATCATATGACTGAGCAGGGAGACGCCGGGACTGGCTAAGTCAACAGACTCCTCCTTCACTTTAATGTAAGCTCAATCATATGACTGAGCTGGGAGACGCTGGGACTGGCTAAGTCAACGGACTCCTCCTTCACTTTAACGTAAGCTCAATGAGACCCCGGAGCAGCCACCCTGGAGATTTTGAGTCACAGTAAATTTTTACAGAGACACTGCTTCTACCAGCAGTTATGGGGAGCGTCACGATGTGATTTATCAGCAACATTTCTAACACACTAATGAGCACCCAGAGAGTGAGGGAATTTCACCTCCTGGTCCATCTGCCATCTGCAAACATTAATGCCTCCCTGGAGAGTCCACTCTATCCTTTCTTGACAAACTAGAAAGTAAAGCTGACACCACAAGCCGCTCCATAATTGTTAGTCCTGAGGGGTTCATTTGTGAGGTACAGGGAAACTGGGAGAGATTGGGGGAAGACAGAAACTTGGAGTCCTGAATCACCAGCTGGGGCCTGGATGGGAACAACCCAAATACAGTAGCTTGGCCTGGGCTGACCCTCCTGAAGCCCTTCCCTGAGAAGTCTGCCAAAATGCTTGCTTGATAACTGGTCAGAGGAGACACTGACCCTCACCACCACCTGGTATCACGGAAAATGGTGCTAAGCCAGATGGTGATCGGCAAAGAACTAAACTATTTCCTCGCTTCAAAACTCAGGGCAGAAATGGCCACACACAAGACACAGCAGGAAGACACACGGCTCAGGGTGCACTCACCTGCCTTGGCCAGGGAGCTCCCTGGCTTGTGCATCCCAATTTCTAGTGCCTTCCTCGGACCAAGAGTGTGTCCAAGTATGAATAGATAAATTCTAGCAGCCATGGTAAAAAATACCAGGGGGAGGGAGGACAAGAAGGCTCAAAAGAAACAGAACCGATGGCTCCTACCCTTAAGAGGCATTTATTAAGCCAGTCAGAGAAACAAAATGCATATATGAAATCCCTGAAAAAGAATTTTAATTATCCAATCCTGGGCAAGGAGAGCTTATGCCTGCACAGTTCAAAACAACAGTAGGCCCCATTCATTTTTGTTTGCCTTGACGTGGCTGGCAATTGTACTGCTGTTACTGTTGCCTATGACTTTAAGTAGCAGATTTAGTTTTATGATTATGCTTCTTTTGTGTACAAATTAAAATCAGTACTGCAGGCACCAGAACAAACCGCAGCTGGATGGTGGGGACACTCAAATTGTGAGGATGCTGGTGGGAAGTATGGTTTTAAAAACAACCCAGTTGAGTATGACACTGAAATGGCGGCCACACGTCACTGTACATTTGTCCAAACCGAGGGAATGTCCAGCGCGACGTCAGAGTCCGGGTGATAATGACGTGTTGATGCAGGTTCATCCACTG
This sequence comes from Homo sapiens, assembly GCF_000001405.40. Classification (NCBI taxonomy): domain Eukaryota; kingdom Metazoa; phylum Chordata; class Mammalia; order Primates; family Hominidae; genus Homo; species Homo sapiens. Next base: position 536,840 of record NC_000017.11, read on the forward strand.
TAACGAATGTGCCACTTTGTGTGTGGGGAGGTGTCGGTAATGGGAAGACTGTGCATGTTGGGGGGGTCAGGTACACGGGAAATCTCTGTGCTTGCTGCTTAATTTGGCTGTGAACCTGAAACTGTTCTAAAACATAAAGTCTATTAAAAAGAACAAGAACCCAGAGATGAGCACGCCCCAGGACTTACTTTGCAAATTTAACGCAGAACTGAGTGAAGTACTTGCGTGTGGAAGCCAGGTTGTCACGGATGATGGGGACGTTCTGCTTGATGTGCAGAATGACAGAGGTGACGTAGGGGCTCTGGTCACCAACGTGCTCCACGTTCTGCCACTGCATCTGAAAGGGAGAAAGGATGAGGCGTTGAATCCCTCGCAGGAGAACGGTGTCGCCTGTTACTGGGGAAGGGAGGGGCTGGAGTGGAAGTCAGGTCACAGCTTTGGTATCCCAGGAATCAGGCCCTTTTGTCCTGGGGAGTTTCTTATTCGTTCTGTAGGGACTGATACTCAGGACAAATGCGAGTGTGCCCAGCGGACCCGACAGTGAGGTGTGACCCAGACCCTTTCCTTTTCCTGCCTTGTCCCCGACCTGCCTGAAACAGCCTTCCCTTCTCAGCTAAGCTACCCACTCGTAAAGGATCCTGTTCTCCTGCCGAGTGCCCCACAGCAGGGGACTGCAGCAGAACGGGGAGGGACACCGACTCCCAAGCTGACCGGCAGCCTGGGAGATGAGAGAGGTGGCTGGACTAAGTGACATGCAACCTGGAGGGGAATTCACAGACACCTTTCTCTCCAGTCAACTGGGAGGAGTTTGGGATTCTTTAACACAGAAAACTAGAAATGATATGACACGTGGGGATGTTGCTTCAAAATAATATGAAGTTACCGGGAAGAGGTGCAGATGAAATAAGATCGTGAAGCTGAGTGACAGGTACATAGAGGCTGACCACACTGTTTCCTCTACTTTTGAATATATTCAAAAATTTCCATAATAAAACACTTGAAGAGGTATGCGTGTAGAATCTTACACTCCTAAAACCTTTGGGATTATGTCAGGATTTCAATAAGGGGAAGGGAAAGAGAATCTCTGGCAAACACTAGGGTGGACCAGAGGGTAAGATGGAGACGTGGGGAACAGGCCAGGAGCCAGGCGCAGGGGAGAGAACATTGCTGAGAGCACCGAGGTGGTCCCTGAACAAGCTGTGAACAAAAGTGACAGACCTGCTTCAACCTGAGCCCTAACGACAGGCTCTGGAAGACACCTATAGCAAACTGGCGGGATTCTTGGACTACGTGGCACTTGGCAACATTGAGTCCTGGGAACAGAAGGAGGCAATGCTGCAGTGTGCCATCCCCCAAGGGTGCATGCAGGAGATGGGTGCAGCACCAGCTCCTAGCCTGCCCCGGGCTGGCAGGGAAGGGCATTCTAATCCCGAAGAGTGGGAATGGTCTGGAGGGTTCTGCTGAGTCAGCCTTTCACAGTGGAGCTGGACGGTCTGGAGGGCTCTGCTGAGTCAGCCTCTCACAATGGAGCTGGATGGTCTGTTAAAGAGATCCTAAGCCAAACACAAACCATATAATATGTTCATAGAAGGAAGTCAGTAGTTCTGAGGCCCTGATGTCTCTGGCAAGAAAACACTATTTTTACAGAGCTCTTGGGGAAAGGAAAAAATCAATACTGAGAGAGCTTGTTTAAAAGAATCACATCGTACGTGGATGATTCTCCAGCTGTGGGAAGCTCAAATGACTCCTAATGTTTTTTCAAATCAGCGGATATTTGTATTCTAAAAGCTTTAGGGATGTGTACACACAGAACCACAGAAAAGCAGGAAGGGACCTCCATCTTCATTTCACAGATAAGAAAGCCAAGGCCCAGAAACATGAAGAGTCTTATGCAAGGTTTCATAACCAGGCTCCACACAGGAAAAAGAACTCTAATTTATTACTGGGAAAAAACAGAAACAAACAATGAAGAAACAGTAGAAAGGTCTAATATGAAGTGACTTAACATTCTAATGCTTTGGTTATGTGAAATGTTTTCCTCATTATCTTTTATCTTACGCAAGAGGCTTCTTTTTCCATTTGATTTTGAAGATTTGACCCATCCAAACAATGAGCATCCTGGGTGATTTTAAATGAGCTCATAGGGTGAGGCCAAAATTGACAGGTGCTGTCAGCATTTCCTGGGCTCTGCAGCAGGACTCGGAGCAGAATGTTCTGGGTAGACACAGCGAACTGGGAGGGCTTGATGCCCCCAAAGCCAATCATGTCCATAGCAATGACTGTTACTTTCCAAGCTGGCAGCTTTGTATATTTCAAAATCTCAAAACGGTTTATCAACAATAATCTAAACATGACAGCCCTCCATGAAAGAAGGTGGCGACGTGCTCTGTCACCAGTTACAAAGCAGCTCTGAAGCAAGACCAAGCAGGGGCCTGGGATTTCTTCAACTTCCCACTGGTTATTCCGCATGCTCGTCACCGAACTCCTCTTGATGATCACTGGCCAAGTCAGTATGTGCCCACATTTGGAATATATGTGAAAAGAGCTGATTTGCTTTAATACTCTGGTCAGTCATGACTCCATTGGTCAAGCTAAAAGAAGTATTAGCAAAGGCCAAGTGGATTCATGATTTTAAACTTAAGTCAGCTTAGTCAACTAAGAAAGTGATTTAAAGTACTAGAAAACAATAAAAGGTGACCTTACCTTTAGTATTTTTTAAAAATGTGGCACACGCCTATAGTCTCAGCTACCAGGGAGGCTGAGGCAGGAGGGTCACTGGAGCCCAGAAGGTTGGGGCTGCAGGGAGCTGTGATTGTACCACTGCACTCCAGCCTCAGATGGCTGATGCTTGCCATCATCCCCCATGGGTGACTGAAGGTTTGGGTCACAACCTGAACTGCCCAGGATAGCTACATTAAGACCGAACTTCGCAGGTCCCTTTGCATGGCCCTAAACATACGTCGTCTCATTTACTATTCATACATGATCTCACTAAGTTCTCACAACAACCTTATAGATGAGGAAATTCAAAAAGCTCAAAGAGATTTGGTATCTTGCACAAAATTTCACAGCTGGGACAACCACGTCTATCTAAAGCCCAAACCAGGTCTATCTAAAGCCCAAACCAAGTCTATCTAAAGCCCAAACCCGGTCTATCTAAAGCCCAACCAGGTCTATCTAAAGCCCAAACCCCACAACAAGGTGCTTGCTAGACAACTTCCCCCCCGACCCGCCCCCGCCACCCTGCCCAAAAAAAGAATAAAAGCACTTAACTAGGCCTTCGTTAAAGGTAAGGCCTGTTTCTCAAGGAGACGCTAATGAAACATAGTGATCAAGCAAAGGACTCTTTATTTTTCATTTTTTTTTGAGACAGAGTCTCTGCTGCCCAGGCTGGAGTGCAGTGGTACAATCATAGTTCACTGCAGCCTTGACTTCCTGGGCTCCAGCAATCCTCCCAGCTCTGCCTCCCAAGTAGCTGGGACCACAGGTGTACACTACCATGCTCAGCTAATTAAAAAAATATATTTTTTTCTTTTTTACTTTTTGTAGAGACAGGGGTCTCACCGTGTTGCCCAGACTGGTCTTGAACTCCTGGGTTCAAGCAATCCTCCTGCCTCAGCCTCCCAAAGTGCTGGGATTACAGGTGTGAGCTACCACGCCTGGCCCAAAGAACTCTTTCAAAAAAGGAAACAAACAGTACCTTGCATTGGAAGAACAAACATCATGAAAAGCCATCAGTAGAAATGAGACCTCAACTTTTCCAGGTAAACTTTTCATTTGACATTTAGAAGTTACCCCTCTACACTTAAAATTGTTTCTTGTTGTGCTTTTTGTTTTGGGGGCTTGGGTAGAGTTGAATACAGATGGCGTTCAACTGGTACTACTATCTAAATGAGACACAGTTTGAAGACAGTAAGAATGATGAGTGCCTCCGGGACCTAGTTTAACCACCACAAGAAGAGACTGCAGGGCCCAGAGTGTCCCCAGAGCCCAGCTTCTGCGGCCTGGGCAGGAAGTATGTGCTCTGACTGACGCTCCACAGTGGGGCTGGGGGGTCAGCACTCTTTCTAGAGAGAGTCTACTGTAGCAGGAACTTTGACCAGAGAACAGCGCTCCACAACTAGCTTCAGTGGATCTTGTTTTTTCCTATTGCTATAGGAAGCTTGGAAAGAGGTTTCTTGAAAATGTGAATACTTAAATTCCTACTTCTTCACTGGATTAGAGAGACACAGAGCATAGACTCAGACAGCTGGGCTCTGGGAACATTTCAGGCAACTGAAGTCTCATAACTGAGGCTGCCGGGGTGTTGGCCTCAAGCTGTAGACTTTACTCAGGCACACACGTACACGCTCACTCTCACTCTGATGCCTGGTGGGGCTTTCACTCCCGCAGCATCTGCTATATTTATAGGTACCTTCGGCAAGTGCAGCAGGGCACTGAGCATCAGGTGGAGACCAAAGAGATGAAGGAATGTTTATCAACCGCCTGCCACACACTGAAGGAATGTTTGTCAAGCATCTACCATGCACCAGGGGCTGAAGGAATGTTTATCAAGCACCTACTACGCACTGAAGGAATGTTTATCAAGCACCTACCATGCACCAGGCACTGAAGGAACGTTTATCAAGCACCTACCATGCACCAGGGGCTGAAAGAATGTTTATCAAGCACCTACTACGCACTGAAGGAATGTTTATCAAGCACCTACCACGCACTGAAGGAATGTTTATCAAGCACCTACCACGCACCAGGTGCTGAAGGAACGTTTATCAAGCACCGACTACGCACTGAAGGAATGTTTATCAAGGACCTACCACGCACCGGGCGCTGAAGGAATGTTTATCAAGCACCTACCACGCACCAGGGGCTGAAGGAATGTTTATCAAGCACCGACTACGCACTGAAGGAATGTTTATCAAGGACCTACCACGCACCGGGCGCTGAAGGAACGTTTATCAAGCACCTACCACGCACTGAAGGAACGTTTATCAAGGACCTACCACGCACCAGGGGCTGAAGGAATGTTTATCAAGCACGTACTACGCACTGAAGGAATGTTTATCAAGCACCTACCACGCACTGAAGGAACGTTTATCAAGCACCTACTACGCACCAGGCGCTGAAGGAATGTTTATCAAGCACCTACCATGCACCAGGGGCTGAAGGAACGTTTATCAAGCACCTACCACGCACCAGGGGCTGAAGGAATGTTTATCAAGCACCTACCACGCACTGAAGGAACGTTTCTCAAGCACCTACTACGCACTGGGCGCTGAAGGAACGTTTATCAAGCACCTACCACGTAACAGGTGCTGTGCCTGACATTTTCACATGACCTTGCTGCCTGATGAATGAATCATGTAGTGAAAGAGGTATTATTACTCCTCTTTGTGAGTAATAATAAATGAGGATGAAACAGGATTGAGGACAGCGAGTGACCTGCCTAAGGAAGCGTAACTGCTAAGTTAGCAGGAAAGGTCATTAAGATGGTACTTAAGATGCTGAAATTGAGTCAGCCAGTCTGACTTCTGACACTGTGCAACCTTCTAAAGGGGTGACCGGGACAAGTCATCTAATTTCTCTGAGCCTCAGTATTCTCGTCTATAAAATTGGGATGATGGTAACATCTATAATCTATTACTGAAAGATAACGCATGGAATGCTCTTAACACAGTGTCTCGCAGCACGTATAAATTCCACAGTAAATTTTAGCTACTGTTATAATTTTAAGAATACTTGCACTATCACTAAAAATCACTAAATTTCGATAACTGATAATTATCAATTAATTCAGATATGTATCAATTAATTGAAATTATGGTGATTTAAGTTTTATTCTTTTTTTCAAAAAAATCTGACCGGGCGCGATGGCAACATGCCTGTAATCCCAGCAGTTTGGGAGGCCAAGGCAGGTGGATCACTTGAGGCCAGGAATTCGAGACCAGCCTGGCCAACACTGTGAAACCCCGTCTCTACCAAAAATACAAAATTAGCCGGGTGTGGTGGCAGGCACCTGCAATCCCAGCTACTTGGGAGGCTGAGGCAGGAGAATCACTTGAACCTGGGAGGCGGAGGTTGCCATAAGCACAAATCACGCCACTGCACTCCAGCCTGCCGGATAGAGCGAGACTCTGTCAAAAAAAAAAAAAAAAAATCTGCATTTTTCTAAAATGGAAGTGATTTAGTTTTGTCATAATGGGAAAAATCTTTTTTATGAAAAAGAAAGCTGTGTCTTGATTCTAGGTAGAACTTGACAGTTTCTTAGTCATGGCTTTCTGTGGGCCTTCTGAAACAGATGTGCATTTTAATGACTGAGGAAAATGAAAATGAGAACAGACTTGTCTTGATTCAACGTAGAAGTGAACTTGAGGATTTCTTAGCTGTGGCTTTCCATGGTCCTTCTGAAACAGATCTGCATTTTAATGACTGAGGAAAATGAGAACAGACTTGAGAACTCTTCTACCTGTTTCAAAGTGTCTTTGGGGGATTATAACGCAGCCTCCTAAATGGGTACATGTTCACAATCCTGAAACCTAATATAAATTATGTGCCAGACGGTAAGAAAATTTAATTTATTCAGTTTCTGTTTTTTCCTAAAACTACCATTAATAGGCAAAACACTAGGTGTGTTTGCTTCTGAACAGAGACTTGGATTTATTTACCTGAGTGATGTGAGCAGCCCTAGGAAAAGGCACGGAGAGAGGCGGGGACCATGAGACCAACAGCCCCTGCTAGGGAGCCCACGGCTCTCTATCCTACGTACAGGGGCATAACCAGACATACTCATTTCTAAGGATTTGTAGGATTTAAATCTAAAAGATAGAATCCTTTGTATTTCCACCAAAACACTCCAAATAACTACTTTTTCCAGAATCAGGAGAACTAGTTTTACTTCTAGCTTCACTATTATAAGTTATATGGCTTTGGGCATAATATGAAGAAGAGAAGGAAGGAAGGAAGGAAGGAAGGAAGGAAGGGAGGGAGGGAGGGAGGGAGGGAGGGAGGGAGGGAAGGAGGGAAGGAGGGAGGGAAGGAGGGGAGTTTGGAGGGAGGGAAGGGAGTCTGGAGGGAGGGGAGGGGACAGGGGAAGGGAGGGAGAGAGGAAAGAAGGAAGGAAGGGAGAGTGGGAGGAAGGGAGGAACGGAGAGAGGGAGGAAGGGAGGGAGGGAGGGAGTGAGGAAGGCAGGGAGGGAGGGAGGGAGGAAGGGAGGAAGGAAGGAAAGAAGATACCAGAAGGAAAGTTCATTAGTTTTCAGGGAAAAATATTCAACGCAGATTGGAATATGTGGGTTGGCTGTTCAACACATCTTCTCCACTGTAGAAAAGTCCTGGTGTCAGATCAAGAAAAGCTGGAGATGAATATACACCATGATGATGGTGAATGCTTGAAGAACTCATAATCATATCAGCATGAACACTCGTGTGGACCCACCAGGACTGGGCACATGCTGACAGAAATGTATCAACTAATTGAAATTATGGTGATTTAAATTTTATTCCTTTTTTCAAAAACATCTGGTCGGGCACGATGGCAACATGCTTGCAATCCCAGCAGTTTAGGAGGCCGAGGCTCTTCCACTTTTAGGCAGGTTACTTAAGCTGATTTTGCCTCAGTTGCCACATTTGCCAAAAAGACTTACTCACTCTCTCTGTATGGCATGCCACAATCCTGCATAAAGAGGCACTGTGGTGGCGTGATCACAGCTCACTGCAACCTCTGCCTCTCAGGCTCAAGTGACCTTCCCACCTTAGCCTCCCAAGTAGCTAAAAGATCTGGAGCAGGTGATTTAATGTCTCTGTTTCAGCTTCTTTATCTGTGAAAAGGGGAAATAGCATAGCCATCTGATGAATTTATTGTTAGAATGAAATTAATTGGGTTCCAATTCCTGGTAAGTGCTCAGTAAATAGTAACTTATTATCAACTCATACAGGTTATCTAAGAAAATAAGCAATATGGAGGCCAGGCACAGTGGCTCACACCTGTAATTCCAGCATTTTGGGAGGCCGAGGTGGGAGGATCACTAGAGCTCAGGAGTTTGAGACTGGCCTGGGCAACATAGCAAGACCTCATCTCTACTAAAAATCAAGAAAATTAGCCAGGTGTGGTGGTGTGCGCCAGTAGTACCAGCTATTTGGGAGGCTAGGGTGAGAGGATCACTGGAACCCAGGAGGTCAAGGCTGCAGTAAGCTATGATTATGCCACCGCACCCAAGCCTGGGCAACAGAGTGAAGAAATTTTTTTATGAAAGAAAGAAAATAACACTATGGGAAGGAAACGTGGTCTAGAAGTTAATTTTGCTGTAACTCATCAGCAACACTACTGGAATCTCAAAGTCAGAGTTTCAGAGGGACCACCTGACTTTCATCACATTTTCCTCCCCCTTCTTCGGCCTGGCCTGCAGAAGGCTGCACCTGCATGTGAATCTAGCAAACTACCGCTCTGCATTTCCCTCTCCTTGTCTAGCAGCAGGACTCAGGGCCACACCCCCGCGGGCTCGTATTCCTTCATTCCCACATCTCTTCAATCGGCTCCAGGATGCCACCTGCTGAAGTCAGAAGCCCTTCTGCTATCAGGTGCCATTGAGGAGCATCACTCCATCCTCAACAGCACCAGCTATGGACCTAAAGGTTTCAGGGATTCTATGACCCCACCGTCTCTCACAAAGTTGTCCAAGTTTCCTACTCTACATCTACCAGCTCCACCTGGCTACCTCTGCTCAGTAGAGTTATCTATGTCTCACTTGTTTACCAATCTTTGGTCAAAAGTGTGTTTGTGGTCCTTTGGTTCTTTCTCTCCCACTCCCTGGCTCCCTCTTTACCTTCAAAGTCATTCAGGGAATACTACAGTTAAGCAAGTACTGTGCCATGCCACGGGTTTCCAAAATGAATAAGACACAGCCCTCAAGTTGTTCAAAGTTTAATAGGGAAGACAAAGACATAAAAATGATTACATAACAAAGCAGAAAGGTAGTCTAGGTACTATGGTGTCTTGAAAGAGAAATAAATATGCTCTGGCTGAGGCAAGAAATGCTGACATTGTAAGGGACCTAGAAGAGCCAAAACAGTGTTGAAAAAGAACAAAGTTGGAAGACTCATACTTCTTGATTTCAAAGATTACTACAAAGCTATTATAGCCAAACAGTGTGGTACTGGCCTGAGGGTGGACATACAGATAGATGGAATAGAACTGAGAGTCCAGAAATAATCCCACACATCTATGGTTAACTGATTTTTTACGAGGGTATCAAGATCATCCAATGTGAAAAGAATAGTCGTTTCAACAAATAGTGCTGGGAAAGCTGAGTATCCTTTCAGCAAAAGAATGCTGCTGAATCTTTGCCTCACACCATATGCAAAAATTAACTCGAAATGGATTGAAGACCTACATTTTTTTCCTTTTTTTCTTTTTTGTGAAGACCTAAATTTCTTAGAAGAAACCACAGAGTAAATCTTTATGATTCTGGATCAGGCAATGGTATCTTAGATATCTCACACACACACACACACACACACACACACACACACACACACACACACGATATACCAACTTCAGAAAATCAAGGACATTATCAAGAAAGTGAAAAGGCAACCCACCCACAGAATGGGAGAGAATATTTACAAATTTCATATCTGATAAGGGGTCTAGTATCCAGATATAAAAAGAACTTTTACAATTCAACAACAGAAAGACAACCCAATTTTAAAATGGGCAAAACATTTAATTCTCATTTCTTCAAAGAGAATATACAAATCGCCAGTAGCATCTGAGAAGGTGATCAACATATTAGTCATGCAAGGAATGCAAACTGTAATCACAATGAGATACCACTTCACACCCACGAAAATGGCTATAATTAAAAAAGGAAAACAAGTGTGGGAGAAGATGTGGAGAAACTGGATTCCTTACACTTTGCTGTGGAAAGGTACAACGGCACAGTCACTTCAGAAAACAGTGTGGCACTTTCTCAAAATGTTAAACATAAATTGACCATACGGCTCTTTCAGTTCCATTCCTTAGGTCCCTTAGATCCTTTTTTTTTTTTTTTTTTTTTTGAGACAGAGTCTCCCTCTGTCACCCAGGCTGGAGTGCAGTGGTGCAATCTTGGCTCACTGCAATCTCCACCTCCCAGGTTCAAGCCATTCTCCTGTCTCAGCCTCCCAAGTAGCTGGGATTACAGGCACGCACGCTACCACACCCGGCTAATTTTTGTATTTTTATTAGAGACAGGGTTTCGCCATGTTGGCCAGGCTGGTCTTGAACTCCTGACCTCAGGTGATCTGCCCACCTCGGCCTCCCAACGTGCTGGGATTACGGGCATGAGCCACCACGCCTGGCCTTTAGGTACATATTGAAGAGAACTGAAAACATGTTCACACGAAAAATTGTACATGAATGTTCACAGCATTATTCAAAATTAGAAAGTAGAAATAACTCAAACGTCCAATAGACGAATGAATAAACAAAATGTGGTCTATCCATATGATGGAATGTTACTCAGCCACAAAAAGGAATGGAGTGCTGACACATGCCCCACCATGCACATGCCCTGAAAACACTACGCTAAGTGAAGAAAGCCAAGCACAAGATGTCCCACATGCCATATGATTCTAGGTATGCAAAATGTCAGGAGGGGCAAATCTATAGAGACAGAAAGTAGGCTAATGGTTGTCAGGGGAATGTAGAATGACTGCTGAGAGGTACGGGGTTTCTTTTTGGGGTAATGAAGATGTTCTGGAATTAGATGGTGGTGGTGGTTTCATGACATTGTGGATATACTAAAAACAACTAAATTGTACACTTTATTTATTTATTTATAAAATAGAGTCTCACTCTGTCACCCAGGCTGGAGTGCAGTGCTGCAATCTTGGCTCACTACAACCTCGGCCTCCCAGGTTCAAGAGATTCTCCTACCTCAGCCTCCTGAGTAGCTGGGACTATAGGTGTGTGCCATCATGTCCAGCAAATTTTTTGTGTTTTTAATAGAGACAGGGTCCCACCATGCTGGCCTCGAACTCCTAACCTCAGATGATTTGCACTCCTCAGCCTCCCAAAGGAGTGAGCCACTGCTCCTGGCCAACTGTATACTTTAAAAGGGTGAATTCTGTGGTATATGAATTATACCTCAGGTTTTTAAATGGGGACAGACATTTGAACTTGATCTTAAAGGACGTGCTCCTTGGGCAGACGATAGCAGGAAGAAAATTCTGGGCAGAAAGAATAAAATGAGAAAAGGCATGGAAGCCGCAAAAGAGCAATATGCATTCAGGGAAGTAAACATGGCTGCGACTGGAGAACAGGGCACATACTCCGGAGTGAGCGGCAGAAACTGACCTAGCAGTGGAGTAAAGAGATAGATAATGAAAGCTCTATATGCCAACCAAGGAAGAGGCCATGGGATGCCTTCCATGAGAATGAGGTCTCCCAGGAAAATGACTTAACCAAGTTGCCAGGCTCAATCCCTCTTGTCAAGGAAGTCTCCTTCCGTCAACTCAGAATCATCCAATGACTACACTCCACTTTGGCCAGCCAACAGTCCTTCTGGAATCATCCAATGACTACACTCCACTTTGGCCAGCCAACAGTCCTTCTGGAAATATCCAACGACTACACTCCACTTTGGCCAGCCAACAGTCCTTCTGGAATCATCCAACAACTACACTCCACTTTGGCCAGCCAACAGTCCTTCTGGAATCATCCAACGACTACACTCCACTTTGGCCAGCCAACAGTCCTTCTGGAAATATCCAACGACTACACTCCACTTTGGCCAGCCAACAGTCCTTCTGACATTTATAAGATACACTTATTTACAGTATTGGTTGTTCTCAGTTTTCTTCCCAGCAGGGTATAGACTCCTTGAGGACAGTCTCGTTTCCAATCTTAACTCTGTCAGTCCAAGTACAGGAGTAGCCTGAGGAGCCCCTGGGATGTTGAATGAGATTGGCAGTTTGAACCAAGCTCTTTAGCTTCCCTAACCTCTCTTTACTCATGTTTTCACCCTGTTTGAACTGCCCTACTAATCACAAACTCATTCAGAATTTCGCCCTCATCTGTTTCAAACACCACTTCCTTACGAGGGCCTTCTTTGCCTCCCCACCTGGATATGAACTCCTCCCTCTTTAAAAAGGGTGTATTTTGTACTTTTCTTATGGCACTGATTTCCTCATCTCTTATATTAAAGTTACTGGGTATTGCTGTCATCTTACACATCTCTTGCCCTCAGCTACTGGAATCTAAACACCTTAGCCAAGGGTTTATGCCTTTCTGAGCCTTGCAGCTCCCAGCACTGTGCTGGGCAGGGTCTGAACTGAACTGTTTAACCAGCAGCAAAAATGATAGAATCAGAGACAGAAATAACCATTATCACAAAAGTTTTTTTAAATCCTAGAAGAAACTACACAAAACAGGATGCAGGCATCAAGAACACAGAATGTGTGTTGAATCAATTTGTGACCACTTGGCTTGTTTATTTCCATCACATGGATTTTATTTTGCTAGAACTCCAGAAGACTCAGACAAAAAGTAATGGCCTCCCAGCTGCTGCGTTCCCAAGTCTGTGGTTTTCCTATGATATAAACAAAGGACTCTGGAGGCACGGTCTCTGTTCGTATTTGCTGGTGTGGGCACGGGGCAGAAGTGGAGGGTGGGACGGGGCAGGGTTTGAGGGAAATCCACCGAACGAACCGACAGTTCGTATAAGCAACACTTGCAGTGTTAAACCCCTTCCAACCGTGATTTTATTGAAAAAAAAAAATCCCACTCTTCCTTTGGTGAATGTGAAAATTCTTTCGGCAGCTGCATTCCGATCTGAAGTGTGTGGCAGTTCAGGAGAGATGGCAGCTGGCACAGATCCCACTCAGGATGTAGAGAATGCTTACCAGCAGCGAGGGGATCATGAGAGCTGGCAAAACGAATCCTCTAAGCAGATGGACTGGCCTCACTTTGCCTGCTCAGAGTGTTCTCCTGTGAATGCTGAGAATACTGGAAGTACCCATCAGCACCGGACTGCTGAAAAGATCAGCTTTTTGAATAAAACTGTGACATCAGCTATTTTAGGACTTGCCACTTCAGTTCATAAAACCCTAAAGCCTACATTTTGGTTTTAATCTTATTTTTGTTAAATATTTACAATCTACTGCAAAACCAAATTCAGACCAAATGTCTGCTTACACAACCTTGTGACATGGTCATTCCTCCTGACAAGAGGGAGAGGGAACTAACATTTAATGAGCATTTACTATGTGCCTGGCACTAGACCCGCCCGTTCCATGTTTCATCCTCACAGCAATGCTGGGAGGCAGAGATCCACAGTTCACTTGGGGTATGTGGGCCCAGATGATGTCACGTTGGCCCAGACAGGTGAATCATTTGCTCAACACCCCAAAGGAAACCCTGGAGGAGTTAGGTCTGTCTGACTCTAAAGTTAGTGTTCCTCCCACTGCCCTCTGGTACTGGCCAGTATAACCTAGATAAATTGTTTCTCCAGAATTTGCTACAAGAGCCTATGACTCTAGAGCAGACATTGGCAAACTTTTTCTGTAAAGGGCCAGACAGTAAATATTTAATTTTTTTAGCTTTGTGGGCTAGTCTCTGTTGCAATGGCTCAATTCTACCACTATATTGCAAAAAGGCAGCCATAGATAATACATAAATAAAGGAACATGGCTGTATTCCAATAAAACTTTATTTTCAAATACAAGCAGTGGGCCAGATCTGGTTCCCAGGCTCTAGTTTGCCAACCCCTGCTCTACAAAGTTCTAGAGTTGCAGCTGCATGTTACTTGGGTTTAGCATAACAAAGGCCCATTTCCAACTTAATTAACAAAAATGAATCTCCCATATTCAAGACTACAAGAGAGATAAAAGAGGGGGTGAAAGACATGGTCTGTGCACTTACGGAATTGACATTCATTTGGGAAAAAAAGGCATAGGCACATAAAAGTCAAAAATAGGAAGATGAGGTAGCGCTCAGTAAGTGCCAAAGGAGGAGACTTGAGGGCCAAGGGCTGACTGATGGGCCACCACGATATTAGAAAACCAGAGTTCACAACCTGATCAAATACTCTTACATTGGCACCAGAGCTCAGAAGGAGTTGGAAAAACCTCTCAGTGGGCAAGAATGAAGAATGAGTCAGAAGTTACTACTTTAAGCACTAATGAAAACACCCATTCTGGTGAGACCACACCAAGGTTTTTAGCATGTGTCAGATACTAATCAAAGATAATACGTAAATAAAGGACATGGCTGATTGGTTTTTAATTAACAAAAATGAATCTCCCATATTCAAGACTACATGAGAGATAAAAGAGGGGTGAAAGACATGGTCTGTGCACTTACGGAATTGACATTCATTTGGGAAAAAAAGGCATAGGCACATAAAAGCCAAAAATAGGAACATGAGAGGAACATGAGGTAGCGCTCAGTAATTAAAAATGATCCATCTCAGCTGGGCACTGTGGCTCATGCCTGTAATCCCAGCACTTGGGGAGGACTCGGTGGGAAGACTGCTTGACGCCAGGAGTTCAGGACCAGCCTGGGCAACATAGCAAGACTCTTAGCTCTACAAAAAATTTAAAAAGTAGTTGGACACAGTGGCATGCACCTGTGGTCTCAGCTACTTGGGAGGCTGAGGCAGGAGGACTGATGAGCCCAGAGGGTCAAGGCTGCAGGGAGTCATGGTGGCACCACTGCACTCCAGCCTGAGTGACAGAGAGAGACCCTGTCTCTAAAAAAATATAAATAAACCACAGACAACATCTCCTTTAGACTCATCAAACACATTTACTTCGTCTCTTTTTTTTTTGCCATCCTCCAATACTGTGATGCTCTGTCTCATTCTAAAAGGACAAGCAACTGAACTGACGCAGGTGCGACACTAACTGAGTGCTTTCAGGAACTCCGGGGCCTCTCCATTCTCCTCAGCTGATCCTTTACGCTCCGATGAGCCTGGAGAAGCTACAGACAAGGGCCAGTAGAAGCCACCTTGGGCTGCTCTCGTTAGTTTGTAGGATGCCATTTCCCAAGACCTTACCTTGCTCATGGCAGTCAGGGCAGGATCACAGGCAGCATCCAGATCCTGAACCAGCAGCTGAATACTGCTGGAGATGACGCTGCAAATCAAACAAATCACTGTGGTCACCCTTTCAAACAACGGCCGTCTGAATGACTGACACTCAGGCCCCTGTGTAAAAATCAGATTCATCATTTCACTGGCAAAGTTTGAGCTTTAATTAATGACAGCGGAGGAACAGCTTGGCTCTTTCTTCATGTCCTGGTTTTATCTGGGTGTGTCCTCACCCAGTCAGGATATAGAATCCCACGGTCAGTCTCCCTAATCACCACCCCAGTATCCCTGTTCACATCTTCCTCCCAAAGAACCTGCTTCCCAAAAATGTTTAAGTCAGAACTGAAGAAAATAAAAAGCTAAGAAAAGTGGAGGAAATAAACTAAGAAGAGAATTTTGATTCTTCGTCAATAAGTGGTTGATGTGAAAGCTGAGAATTTTGATTCTTCGTCAATAAGTGGTTGATGTGAAAGCTGAGAATTTTGATTCTTCGTCAATAAGTGGTTGATGTGAAAGCTGAGGCCTGGCCCATGCCTGTCTCATTTAATGGCAGTGGAACAGAAACTGACCACAACAAAAATACCACAAGGTCCTAACAGGGAAAGAAGACTTTACTGTTAGAACTTCCTGGACGGACCTCCCCTGCCACTCCCACACTCTTATTCCCTCGGTGGCTAAATTTAAGCCATTTATACTTTATACTTTAAAACACTGAAGGTAGGCCTGGCCTTCTGTGGGTTTAGGTGGGGGCAGATCAGCAATGGCCAAGGGAGAATGTCTTCTCTGTGGTTATTCTTCACAGTGAGACAATGAAGACCCCATAAGCTAAAAGAGCAACTGCATCTGAGGAGGTACAATGGCAGCCCAGTTCTGAAGCTTCTTCTTAGTGGCCAGTAGGGACTCATTCTGACCCAACAGAAACCTCTTAGGTTCTGTAGTGACTAAAGCCAACAGCCTGAGGCACGCTGCTGTGTAGTGGAGAAAGGGCAGGCAGCGAGCAAGTGTGTACAAGGTATATACGTGCCGCACGCTGCTGTGTAGTGGAGAAAGGGCAGGCAGTGAGCAAGCGTGTACAAGGTATATACGTGCCGCACGCTGCTGTGTAGTGGAGAAAGGGCAGGCAGTGAGCAAGCGTGTACAAGGTATATACGTGCCACATGCTGCTGTGTAGTGGAGAAAGGGCAGGCAGCGAGCAAGTGTGTACAAGGTATATACGTGCCACATGCTGCTGTGTAGTGGAGAAAGGGCAGGCAGTGAGCAAGCGTGTACAAGGTATATACGTGCCGCACGCTGCTGTGTAGTGGAGAAAGGGCAGGCAGTGAGCAAGCGTGTACAAGGTATATACGTGCCACATGCTGCTGTGTAGTGGAGAAAGGGCAGGCAGCGAGCAAGCGTGTGCAGGGTACATACGTGCTGCACGCTGCTGTGTAGTGGAGAAAGGGCAGGCAGCCAGTAAGTGTGTGCAGGGTACATACGTGCTGAACGTGTCCATCTCTCCAGTCAGATTGATTCGTTCAATCAGACTTACATCCACTTTTTCTTTGAGTTTTTCTTCTAGCTGTTGAAAAACAGAAGAAATGGATGCACGGTTAATGATTATCCAAAGAAGTACCATCACAATAATAGTTAACATTTACTGCGTTTGATGATTCAGGCATAATTCCATACACTTTTTTTTTTTTTTTTTTTGAGACTCGCTCTTGTTGCCTAGGCTGGAGTGCAGTGGTGCGACCTCGGCTCACTGCATCCTCTGCCTCCTGGGTTCAAGCAATTCTCCTGCCTCAGCCTCCCGAGTAGCTGGGACTACAGGCGTGCGCTACCACACCCGGCTAATTTTATATTTTTAGTAGAGATGGGGTTTCACCATGTTGGTCAGGCCGGTCTCAAACTCCCAACCTCAGGTGACCTGCCTGCCTTGGCCTCCCAAAGTGCTGAGATTACAAGTGTGAGCCACTGTGCCTGGCCAATCTTACAACCTTATGAGGAAGATTCTATTATTATCATCGTCATTTTACAGATCAGAAAAATAGAGGGGGGGCCTACCCAAGATAGAAGTGGTAGGGCCAGGAATCAAACTTCCTCCAGAGCCTGTGCCCTTTAGCACTGTGCAGTACTTGTTTCTTACCACACATCAATAATTCACATCAACTCATTCTGAAAAGACGCTGATTTTAAGATACTCCCTGCCCCATGAACTACAGACTTGCCCACCCACAATGGAAACCTTTGGTGTTGAGTAGCAGTAAAACCAGCTAAAATAGTCAGTGAATGCTACTACGGGCCAAGCACCTCATTAAGGCATTGGGGATACAGTGGTAAACAAAAGAAATGTGGTCCCTGCCATCATCAGCCGACAGCCGGGGACAGAAACACTCAACACGCTCCTGGCGCTCAAAGAAAAATAACGGGACCAAGACTTGTAAATACTTGGAGATATCCCTGGGAGTTGATTAATCTAGCACTGTAAACCTATTACACAAACTCTAAGAATAGCTAATGTTTTGGCCTTTTTTTTTGAGACGGAGTTTCACTCTTGTTGCCCAGGCTGGAGTGCAATGGTACGATCTTGGCTCACTGCAACCTCTGCCTCCAGGGTTTAAGTGATTCTCCTGCCTCAGCCTCCCGAGTAGCTGGGACTACAGGCGTGCATCACCATGTCCGGCTAATTTCGTATTTTTAGTAGAGACGGGGTTTCACCATATCAGCCAGGATGGTCTTGAACTCCTGACCTCAGGTGATCCACCCACCTCCGTGTCCCAAAGCACTGAGTAGCTGGGACTACAGCTGGGATTACAGGTGTGAGCCACCGTGCCAGGACAGAATAACCAATGTTTTGTCTTAAATTTGAAAATGCTGTTGGGGTGCATAAATTAGCATAAACTTTTTGGAAGGCAATTTATTCAAAAAGCAAAACTTTAAATACACATATTGCCTAAACCAGCAATTTCACAACTAGAAATGCATTTCAATGAAATAAGGAGAATAACATACAAAGATATGCAAGTATTTTTTGCAGCATTCATTAATTCAACCAATATTTAATGAGAGCCCGCTTTGTTCAGGCTGTGTAACAGAATAAGAGAGTTATTTAGTGAACAAAACAGATCAATACTGTTCTCATAAAGCTGGAAACAATCTACATGTGTATTTACAAAGGATAAAACAAATTATGGCACAGGCTTATCATGCTTAAACTCTTCAGCAGCCTCTTCCTATGACACCGAAAATAAAATCCAAATTCCTAACCATGAATTGGGTCCTGCCCAGCTTTCTGGCCCCGTCTTGCCACTTTCCACCTTGCCTGCTAGGCTTCAGTTACACTGGCCTTTTAAATTTCTGGGAGACACCAGGGTCCTTCGCCCTCAGGACCTTCATACTTCACACTTCCTTATTCCTCTCCCTGAAACATGGCCTGCTCAGCCCTGCTGACCCACTGCCTTGCTTTGCCGCACCCCCACTTTCTAAGCCCTCCAGGCTCCTCACTTTTTGGCCACATGTTGGCCATGCTGGTCTCAAACTCCTGACCTCGTGATCTACCCGCCTCAGCCTCCCAAAGTGCTGGGATTACAGACGTGAGCCACCACGCCCGGCCCTAATTTTTGTATTTTTAGTAGAGACGGGGGTTTTACTATGTTGGCCAGGCTGGTCTCGAACTCCTGACCTCAGGTGATCCACCCACCTCGGCCTCCCAAAGTGCTGGGATTACAGGCGTGAGCCCCTGCACTCGGCCAGAGTATCATTCTTTATACCTCCTAATGGAATAATGGATCTGGGCTTTGAGCATCAGAGGCTGCTGACATCACACAAAGAGCAACCAAACATTATGTATCTTGATGACAGACGTACAAAACATCATTATGATGTAGTTTTCTGTAAAAAAGAATCTGAATCAGCTCAGGCTTCTACATCTAACTACCAATTTATGGGAAATACGAGACAAAGTAAAATGTCCATTAATACTCGTGGGTGCAATCAGGAAAATCCAAAACTTGGGAAAATCTACAGGGCAAACAACACAGTTTCTTTAAGAAAAGATTGCAGAGGGGGCAAAGGGAAATGGAAGAAGAAACCAGAGACTTAATAATCTGAGCAGGCTGGACCCAGTGGCTCACCCGGTAATCCCAACTCTTTGGGGGCTGAGGCAAGAAGATCACTTGAGCCCAGGAGCTCAAGACCAGCCTGAGCAACACAGTGAGACCCTATCTCTACAAAAAATAAAAAAATACTGGCCAGGCATGGTGGCAGGTGCCTGAAGTCCCAGTGTAGTCCCAGCCACTTGGGAGGCTGAGGGTAGGATCGCTTTCGTTCCAGGTTTCAGTGAGCTGTGATCAAACCACCGCACTCCAGCCTGGGCAACAGATTGAGACCCCATATTAAACAAAAAGAATCTGAGCAACAAGGAATTGGAAAATAAAATTTAAAAGCAACACCAATAATACATCATTATTGGTTCATTAATTGTAACAAATATTTCATATCAATGTTAATAATATGGGAAACTGGGTAAGTGGTATATGGGAACCATACAAACGATCTTTGCAATTTTTCTGTAAATGTAAAAGTATCCTTAAAAGTGTAGTTTATGTTTTTTAAAAACTATTTACAATAGCAATTCATAACATCGTTCTGTGGTTTGATTGTGTTCTCCAAAGTTTATGGGTTATAAGCTTAATCCCTGAAGCCACAGTGTTGAGAGGTATGAGGTCATGAGGGCTCTGGCATCATCATGGGTTAATGCCATTATCTCAGGAGTGGGCTCTTTTATTCCTTCAAGAGATCTTTATTAAGCACTTATTACGTACCAGGCATTGTATTTGGTGCTAATGAACAGAGGTGAACAAAGTAGACTTTCTGGCATGTAACTTAAAACTAATGGGGGCGCCAGATAATAAGGAAGTAAGCCAGCCGAGACGTAACTTCGGTTTTGTGGTGTTAGGAAATAAATTTGGCAGTGCTGGAATAAGGGAGCTACCTACTGAAGGGGGGTGGCCAGGAGGGCCTCTCTGCTGAAGGGGGGTGGCCAGGAGGGGCTCTCTGAGGAGGTGATACTGAAGCGGGGACCTGAGGCTTGGGGAATGAGACTGCCAAGTGAGAAGCCACCACACCCGGCTAATTTTTGTATTCTTTTAGTAGAGACGGGGTTTTGCCATGTTGACGAGACTGGTCTTAAACTCCTGACCTCAAGTGATCCACCCTCCTCAGCCTCCCAAAGTGCTGGGATTATAGGCATGAGCCACCGCGCCCCCACTCTTCTGGAAGCTCTGAGGAAAAAACTATTTACACCTCTCTTCTAGCTTTGGGTGTTTGCTGGCAATCCTTGATGTTCCTTGGCTCATAGAAGTCTGACTCCAGCCTCTGCCTCCTTCTCACGGCCTTCTTCCCTGTATCTCTGTGTGTTCAATCTCTCTCTCCTTTCTAAGGACAACAGTCATTAGATAAGGCCCCCCACCAATCCTAAATCCAGGACCATCTCATCTTGAGATACTTAATTACATTTACCAAGATAAAGTCACATTTACATGTCCCAAGGCCTAGGACTTGGACATATTTTGGGGTTGGGGGGACACTTCAACCCACTATATCTCCCTGGGTCCTCTTGAGATGACACTAATAGTCTTTGATATTTTTCTTGCTTTTTGTGTAACATGATGTTCTGATTCATCTTGTAGATTTCCTGCCCTTGACCTGGAATTAGTCATTTCTCCAGGAATCTCTGGTTTCTTTTAGTGGAAAATTGTATTTAGAGATCACAATAAAGGTGCTAAGAATGTATTACTTTTGTAATCAATAAAAACAATTTTCACTAAATAAAAAATAATTGGCCACTTGTATCATCAGTCATCAAAATGGTCTTCAACTTATTTCTAGAACTTCTAAGAGTCTGTTCTAGAAAACTAATGCAAAACATTTAAGATGCTATATTCAGAAAGACATTCTTTGTAAGGATTATCTTTTTTTTTTTTTTTTTTTTTAGAGACAGGGTCTCACTCTGTCACCCAGGCTGGAGTGCAGTGGTGTGATCATAGCTCACTGCAGCTTTGACCTCCCAGGCTCAAGCGATCCTCCAACCTCAGCTTCCCAAGTAGCTGAGACCACAGGCATGTACCACCACACTCAACTAACTTTTAAATTTTTTGTAAAGACCAGGTCTCACTATGTTACCCAGGCTGGTCTTGGACTATTGGCCTCAAGCGATCCTTCCACCTTGGCTTCCCAATATGCTAGGATTACAGGCGTGAGCCACTGTACCCTGCCAGGATTATCTATAAAAGCAAAATTTTGGCTGGGCATGGTGGCTCACGCCTATAATCCCAGCACTTTGGAAGGCCAAGGTGAGTGGATCACGAGGTCAGGAGATTGAGACCATCCTGGCTAACACAGTGAAACCCCGTCTCTACTAAAAATACAAAAAATTAGCTGTGTGTGGTAGCGGGTGCCTGTAGTCCCAGCTACTCACAGTGGCTCACGTCTGTAATCCCAGCACTTTGGGAGGCCAAGACGGGCAGATCACAAGATCAGGAGATCGAGACTATCCTGGCTAACACAGTGAAACCCGGCCTCTACTAAAAATAAAAAAAAATTAGCCAGGCGTGGTGATGGGAACCCGTAGTCCCAGCTACTCGCGAGGCTGAGGCAGGAGAATGGCGAGAACCCGGCAGGGGGAGCTTGCAGTGAGCCGAGATCGTGCCACTGCACTCCAGCCTGGGTGACAGAGAGAGACTCTGTTTCAAAAAAAAAGCAAAATTTGAAGCACTATAAACAACGATCAGGGATGCTTGCTAAATAAGTTATGGTACAAGGCCGGGCACAGGGGCTCACACCTGTAATCCCAGCACTTTGGGAGGCCAAGGCAGGTGGATCACAAGGTCAAGAGTTGGAGATCAGCCTGGCCAAGATGGTGAAACCCCATCTCTACTAAAAAAAAAAAAAAAATACAAAAATTAGCCGGGGATGGTGATGGGCATCTATAATCCCAGCTACTCAGGAGGCTGAGGCAGAAGAATTGCTTGAACCTGGGAGGTGGAGGCTGCAATGAGCCAAGATCATGGCCACTGCACTCCAGCCTGGAAGACAGAGCAAGACTCTGTCTCAAAATAAATAAATAAATAAATAATTTATGGTATAGTCCCTTAAAGAGAAATATTATGTGGCCATAAACAATGATAGTAATAATGACCCTGTAATGATAGTTATGATTATTACTATCATTATAATGACAGGAGAAATGCTAATGCTATGTATGACACTAACAATAAAAGGATATAACAGTGAATTAAGATTGTAACATTCAAAACTATGTCTATGAATAACAATTGAAAAAATACCCCAAATTGCTAATATGATTATTTGAGGATGATGGGATTAAAAGGGATCTTTATTTTTTTAAATACTACGGTTATTTTACCTTTAAAATAGCATATTTACATGTATCGTATTTCTTTCTGTGCACACCCAAAATAGTTAAACAGTGTTTCTTCATGAAAGAACTCTGGAACCCCTGCCTTGGAGGTCCTTACAGATAGTGCCATCTTACCTGGGGAGTGGCCTGGGGCTAAACGGACTGCTCTGTGGCTCCAAGGCCAAACCCTGGAAGGTCATGACCTTCGCAACTCAACATGACCAGGTCCCCAGGCAGAGTGTGCTGCTGCCTCTGCCTCTGGCTGGCTTATGTGCCACTGAGGGGCCTTGGTAGACACACTTCCTATTTGACCTGCTATATTGCTGCCCTGGCACACAGGAGCTCCAAGCTGGGCTGTCTGAACTATCATTTATGACTGTCTTCTTGTGGTCTAGGCATCTGTAAATTATAAATACAAAGTGGGTAGAAGAGCAGAACCTTTCCAAATTACTTTCTTTCTCTTGGCCTCAGGGGAATCCCAGACCAAGTGTGAAAAGGACTTCTAATTCCATGTTTAAGGCTGAATCAAAGGTTATTCTGGGTCTTCCTTCTGCTCCATCAGTTGCTGAACTATGGCCATGTGGGGGCCTCCAGCAGAGGCATCACCCTTTCCTGTCCCCCAGTTCCTAAACGTCA
Organism: Homo sapiens; assembly: GCF_000001405.40. Classification (NCBI taxonomy): domain Eukaryota; kingdom Metazoa; phylum Chordata; class Mammalia; order Primates; family Hominidae; genus Homo; species Homo sapiens. Next base: position 559,940 of record NC_000017.11, read on the forward strand.
GCATCCCAAACAATGGCTATTTGTTGAGGCAGATTGAAAATGCCATGTAAATTTCAGAAGACACATAAAAGCCCAAAGGATTCTGCTTAACTTAGTAACACTTCTGAGCATGGAATAACTGGCTGTGACTCATCATCACCAAAGGCTGGGTCCTAGCACAGACAAGCTTGTTACTGCTTTTCTCATATGGGTTGGAGTGCTACTGACCTACTTTTAACAGGTCATGCCCTTTGAGGAGCTTACACAACTCCAGGGAGGTGACCAGTCATACTTTCTTGCCCAGTCTTCTTTTAACAAGGCCTTTCTGTAAGACAGCTGCCTGGGCAGCCTTATGGCTGGACACTGAGCTTTCCTCTGTGGCAGGCCAACTGGTCTGACCCAAGGTTGTCTGTGGCCATGTTAGGACGTATATTCTTACTCGCCGAGCGACGCAGCCCAGAGGGTTCAGGAAAAGGAGGTGGTGAGTGGGCAGCCAGGATGGCTCACCTGCTGGGTGGTGGCCAGACAGTACTCTGCCGTGCTCAGGATGTTACAGATGAGGCAGAGCTCCTCCAGAGTGAACTTGGCTACTTCTGAGCCCTCCTTTTCCTTGAGGAGGCTGCTGATAGTCAGTCCTCCACTGCTGGTTGTGGTTCTGAAGAAAAGGAACAGGAACAAGTCAGCATGGAATTTCTAATTTGCTTCCTGAACTGGAAACTACATTATTTTAAGATACAGAAAAGGGGGAAGTAAAGGCTGGACATGGCCCAAATCAATTCACATACAATGAGTCCTTTTCCTACTGACCTTACCTTGACACCGTCAGAAATAGGAAGAGATGATTCCTATTTTAGTTAATCTGAATCATCAGCAGGCCATTAGTCACATTAACTAGGATGGTCTAATATCCAAAGGGAAGGCTGCTGAGCTGTCCTCTCTTTAGCTTGGAATCTCCTGATGTGCAGAACTCATTTAGGACCGTGTGGAGCACGAAAGATGGTTACCTACCCTGTTTCTTTCAGTTAAGAAAAGTCTGCACTGGGACTCATGTGTGCTGGTGGAGGAGGACATAAGCGCATGTTAAGAGAAGTCTGCACTGGAACTCATGTGTGTTTGTGGAGGAGGACATAAGTGAATGTTAAGAAAAGTCTGCACTGGGACTCGTGTGTGCTGGTGGAGGAGGATATAAGCGAATGTTAAGAGAAGTCTGCAAGGGGACTCATGTGTGCTTGTGGAGGAGGACATAAGCGAATGTTAAGACATGCTTCCTGCCCAAGGCCCTAAGTGTCTCAAGAGGCCAACACCCATCACACATCCTCCTGTGACTACAGGTTTTGGGGCAGCCCCAGCTACTGAGTGAGTTCTATGGTAGTAACCACTACCCACTCATATCTGGATGCTTTGGAATCCTCTGTTGGCTCCTTTCACCTTGCCCCCACTTCTGTGAACAGTCTCTCTACTGACATAATCCCAGCTGAGTATGCCATTTTTTTCTGCTGAGATGCTGACTAATACACGTGGGAAAATGCTCCCACGATGAAGTTAAACGGTAGCTGCAGGGAATAAAGCTATAAGCAGTATAGCCCCAATTCCGTGACACAAACAAACAAAAGCACACAGATCACACACATTAGGTATCTATCAAGAACGGAAAAATATATACAAAAAGTTACGTTCTCTTTGGGTAGTGGGATTATACATAATTTATTTATTTATTTATTTATTTTTTAGGGCGGAGTCTCCCTGCAATGCCCAGGCTGGAGTGCAATGGCACAATCTCGGCTCAGCGCAACCTCCGCCTCCCGGGTTCAAGTGATTCTCCTGCCTCAGCCTCCCGAGCAGCCGGGACTACAGGCATGCACCACCACACCCAGCTGATTTTTGTATTTTTAGTAGAGATGGGGTTTCACCATATTAGCCAGGCTGGTCTCAAACTCCTGACCTCAAGTGATCCTCCTGCCTCGGCTGCCCCCAATCCTACCGCATCTTCAAACATTAGGCTATGTCCAGTTCTAATGCCTCAGGATAACACAATAGTCCCCATAATTAGGAGCTATGCAGTAGCTGACCCCCAATCCTACCGCATCTGAAACATTAGGCTCTGTCCAGCATGGCAGGAAGTGTGCACCACAAGAGGGACTTGGAACCTACTGGGAATGAGGAAAAAGCAGATTCATTCCTCCAACCCATCACTCCGGGGCATCATCTCACCAAAAGAGGCTTGGGTGAAACTGCTTAAGCTATTTATCAGTTATTTCCACCACAACCTCACTTTTTTTGTATGTGCCAAGTATCTATAGCTGAATCCATGAAAATTAAATAGGCATACAATGGGATTGGTTCTCGAGTCCACCGTGGTAAGATTTGCCCACGTGGGCAGTCAGTGTGGACATTTCCTCTGATGGTCTTGATCAGCTGTGGAATGTCAGAGAGGAAATAGCTTCAGGCCCTCGGGAACTCAGGAAGCGTGCTTTCCTCCTTGATACTCTTGGTGGTTTAGTAAACAACTTCAGAGTGGATTTCCTTAAGATTCCCATATTTAGGTCTATTTGCCACCACTCAGACTATGAAGAACAGGACTCACTTGGGCAGGTTGCCAGAGAGGATTTTCCAGGCGTATTCTCGGAGGTACTTCTGGAAAATGGTGGTCAGGGCGATCATGGGCTCCCCAGTACTGAGCTGAGAGCATTGCACCATGCACTTCTTGTAGTAGACAAAGAGGTCGGCGCAGCTGGGGAGCACGGCACCCCCTTCATCAGTGTTGGGCTTAGGTGGCCCCTGGGCTTTGAAATCAGCCACAAACCGATCTATCAGCTCTCCGAGGTTCCTAGGAGGAAAAAAAAAAACCAAAAATGTTATTTTACTTCAAGAAAAGTAAAGCAAATGTGCTCGTTTGCAATGTACATAAACTACTGCCACAAGTAATCATTCCTACTGCATTTAAAACTTAAAATCGGATCGATTTTAATCAATATCATCATTCACTACCACCACCACTCCTACAACAGCAGTAATAAAATCTGACATATGAGATTCTAATCTCTAAGTCGATTGACATTTGTGCTTTATACTTTTCAAGGCATTTCATTATCATATTGGACTCCAAACCCCTGTAAGCAAGATAGGGTATTACTGGTCCCGCTAAAAGATGAGAAAATTAAGTCCTAGAAAGTTTCTCACAAAGTCTGTGGCAGAGCTGAGCCTAGACTCCAATACTAAAGTAAGAAACTAATCCTTCTATCATATTAGTACTGTTTACCCCTCCAAAAAGGAAAACCCTAAATCATGATAGTGATCGTTTTCTGAACACTTGAGATGCACCAGGTATTATGTCCATGCTTTATACCCATCTCACTGAACTTCATTTCCTTTTTTTTTTTTTTTTTTTTTTTTTGAGACAGAGTCTTGCTCTGTTGGCCCAGGCTGGAGTGCAGCGGCATGATCTTGGCCCACTGCAACCTCCATCTTCAGGGTTCAAGCAATTCTCCTGCGTCAGCCTCCCATGTAGCTGGGACTACAGGCACACGCCACCATGCCCAGCTAACTTTTATTTTCAGTAGAGACAGGGTTTCACCATGTTGCCCAGGCTGGTCTCGACATCCTGACCTCAGGTGATCCACCCACCTTGGCCTCCCAAAGTGCTGGGATTACAGGTGTGAGCCACTCACTGCGCCCAGCTCATTTACTTTTTACAATAAACTTACATAGTATGTATTATTACTATCCTCATTTTCAAAGAGTTAAGTACAGAAAAGTTGAGTACCTTGTCCAGAGTAATACAGCAAGAAAACAGGAGAGCCACGATTAAAAACTAAGCAGCCTGGCTCTAAGCTTCAAGCCTTTAAGCACTCTACTTCCTAAAAACAAAAAGGTTATGATGTCAGCACATATTTAGACATCACGAACCTAAATGTGCCCAAGAGACAGATGCCTAAACAAAGAGAAACTGTGAAATGTGTTATAATGGTTTCTTTCTCCTCCGATTTAGTTTTTTCTTAGAACTTCCAGAATCAAAGGTTTAAAAAAATCTTAGGAAAAGAGAGGGTACGGGCAGAGTGTGGTGGCTCAAGCCTGTAATCCCAGCACTGTGGGAGGCCGAGGCGGGCAGATCACTTGAGGACAGGAGTTCGAGACCAGCCTGGCCAACATGGCAAAACCCCGTCTCTACTAAAAATACAAAAATTAGCCGGGTGTGGGCCGGGTGCGGTGGCTCATGCCTGTAATCCCAACACTTTGGGAGGCCCAGGCGGCGGATCACTTGAGGCCAGGAGTTCGAGACCAGCCTGGCCAACATGGCAAAACCCCGTCTCTACTAAAAATACAAAAATTAGCGTGGTGTGGGCCAGGCACAGTGGCTCATGCCTGTAATCCCAGCACTTTGGGAGGCCAAGGCAGGCGGATCACAAGGTCAGGAGATCAAGACCATCCTAACACGTTGAAACCCCGTCTCTACTAAAAATACAAAAAAAAAATTAGCCGGGCATGATGGCGGGTGCCCGTAGTCCCAGCTACTTCAGAGGCTGAGGCAGGAGAATGGCATGAACCCGGGAGGCGGAGCTTGCAGTGAGCTGAGACTGCACCACTGCCCTCCAGCCTGGGCAACAAAGTGAGACTCTGTCTCAGAAAAAAAAAAAAAAAAAAAATTAGCTGGGGGTGGTGGCGCATGCCTGTAATCCCAGCTACTTGGAAGGCTGAGACCTGAGGCAGAGAATCACTTGAACTCAGGAGGCGGAGGTTGCTGTGAGCCCAGCTCACACCACTGCATTCCAGCCTGGGCAACAGAGCAAGACTTGATATCTGGAAAAAAAAAACAAAAACCAAAACAGGGTATGAGCAGCTCCAGACTTGCCTCAGGCCACAGTGGGGATGAGAGTTGCAATTTTTCTCCGATTTCCCATTCAAACATCCCTGTAATTGTTCCGTTGAATTGTGTCATCACCTGTGAGGATCCAGCAGAGCTGCAGTAACTGCTGCCTGCACAGCTGTGCTGTGTGAAGAATGGGAAGGGTTCCCACCACTCCTGACATGTTGCATCTTTTTAGGTTGCCGTTTAAGGCTATAGGAATCCAGCTGTGTTTTAAAAATGTATTTATATAATGGTAAGGAAGAAAAAGACAAGAACCACACATACCACCAATTAGCAGGAATAGGAGAAAATTGACATTTTACTCAAAGGCTTTTGTTATTGAAAGTCTATTATAGGCCCAACGTGGGGGCTCACACCTGTAATCCCAGCACTTTGGGAAGCCGGGGCGGGTGGATCACCTGTGGTCGGGAGTTTGAGACCAGCCTGACCAACATAGAGAAACCCCGTCTTCACTAAAAACACAAAAAATTAGCCAGGCGTGGTGGCGGGTGCCTGTAATCCCAGCTACTCGGGAGGCTGAGGTAGGAGAATCACTTGAACCTGGGAGGCGGAAGTTGCAGTGAGCCGAGATCGTACCATTGCACTACAGCCTGGGCAACAAGAGCGAAACCCCATCTCAAAAAAAAAAAAAAAAAAAAAAAGAAAGAAAAGAAAAAGAAAGTCTATTATATCCAGATACAACCACTCTGCCCTCAAAGAGCTTCTGGCCTAGGCTAAGTCTCTGTCTGTGGTGATAGTGAGAAAGCAGGGAAGGATCTCGTTGGTTGACCTCGGAAAGCTTCATGGCCACCACTCTTGTTCCTCATAACCTCTCTTGCCTCACTTTCCCACTGAATCTCCCACCTCTCCTCCACAGCTGACCCAACACTCCAGCCAGAGGTTCCTCGCAACAGCTCCCCTGCTGGCCTACTCCCGGTCAGTGGGCCTCGCAACGGCTCCCCTGCTGGCCTACTCCCGGTCACTGGGCCTGTGTGACGTCCTGGCCAAAACGCTCTCCCACCACCTGTCCACTCCCCTTTCAAGCTCATCCAGGTCTCACCCGCAGCAGCTGCAACTTCTGTCATCTGCCACCCACCAACACTTTATTTAACACTTTATTAGACAGTGCGAGGATGCCATATATTCAAGAAATAACCGGCCGGGCGCGGTGGCTCACGCCTGTAATCCCAGCACTTTGGGAGGCCGAGGCGGGCGGATCACGAGGTCAGGAGATCGAGACCATCCCGGCTAAAACGGTGAAACCCCGTCTCTACTAAAAATACAAAAAAATTAGCCAGGCGTAGTGGCGGGCGCCTGTAGTCCCAGCTACTTGGGAGGCTGAGGCAGGAGAATGGCGTGAACCCGGGAGGCGGAGCTTGCAGTGAGCCGAGATCCCGCCACTGCACTCCAGCCTGGGCGACAGAGCGAGACTCCGTCTCAAAAAAAAAAAAAAAAAAAGAAAGAAATAACCTATCTTCTCCCATCCTGGGCCACGGTAGGCAATGCTAATCAACAAGGAGCCCTTTCTTCACTGATCTCTCTTGTGATTCCAGAATCCTTCTTGAGACAGCACTCCAGCCAGTCACCTCTATCAACTGAAGTTGGTACAAAAGGCGAAGGAGGTAGAATCATCTGTTTCGTGCCTGTTAACACAAGCTCCCTGAGAGGAGGAATGACGTTTATGCTGGTTCTGCTGCCCCCGGCCCGCCCGTCATGCCAATGAGTGGAGTGAAGCTTCATGCTAGTGCTCGATACATACTTACCTGATCAACCTCCACACTTTGTTCCTAGGGGATGGGAATGGAGGGTGGGAAGGTGGAAACGGGATGGAGGCCGGTGCAGTGGAGGAGAACATGGAACAGAAGGCAAAAGATTCCCCTGGGGTCTTCTTATGAGATTCTAATCTCTAAATTGATAGTGCCAACCAAATCAGGGACCAGAGCTCTGACATGGGTGTTTTTTTTGTTTTTTTTTGTTTTTGTTTTTTGCTTTTTTTGGAGACGGAGTCTCACTCAGTTGTCCAGGCTGGAGTGCAGTGGTTTGATCTCAGCTCACTGCAACCTCTGCCTCCCGGGTTCAAGTGATTCTACTGCCTCAGCTTCCTGAGTAGCTGGGACTACCGGCACACACCACCACAACCGGCTAATTTTTGCTTTTTTTTTTAGTAGAGATGGGGTTTCACCATCTTGGCCAGGCTGGTCTTGAACTCCTGACCTAGTGATCGCCCGCCTCAGCCTCCCAAAGTGCTGGGATTACAGGCGTGAGCCACTGCGCCCAGCCGACTCTGATGTGCTTCCAGGCGTGAGCCAACGCGCCAGCCAACTCTGATGTGATTCTATTTTCATCACTCACCTGTTCCCCTAGAAGATGGATACTTACTTACTTGCTTCCTATTTCAGAGCCACCCCAATGAGTAAGATTATAAACTAATTATGATCATACAGCATAAAGAAAATGTTCACTTCAAAAAGCTCTAAAGATCTATACTTTGTAGAATGTCTACAGGATGTCTACTCGGTTACTTCTGACATTGTTCTTTCAAGTGGATGAGAAATAAACCAGTTGGGGAAACCTTCCCCTGCCTTCCATCTTTCACCCTGCATCAGCATGCTTTGATGCCACATGAGACATTAGAAAATCAGTAGCCAGTATTTCACAGAACAGAAGAATGTAAGTTACCCCAATGGGAATGCGTAAGGCTCATTAGTTTTGAATACATGATCCAATCTGATCACATTTCTTTTTTTTTTTTTTGAGACAGAGTATTGCTTTGTCACCCAGGACAAAGTGCAGTGGCATGATCATGGCTCACTGCAGCCTCAACCTCCCAGGCTCAAGCAATTCTCCTGCCTCAGCCTCCCAAGTAGCTGGGACTACAGGCGTCCATCACCATGCATGGCTAGGAGGAGGCCAGGAGTTTGAGAATAGTGTGGGCAACAAAGTAAGATCCCTATCTCTAAAAAAAAATAAACAAATTAGTTAGGCATGGTGGTGTGTGCTTGTAGTTACAGTTACTTGGGAGGCTGAGGGAGGACGATCATTTGAGCCCAGGAGTTTGAGGTTACAGTGAGCTATAATGCCACCACTGCACTCCAGCCTGGACAACAGAGCAAGACATTGTCGAAGGGGAGGGGAGGGGAGGGGAGGGGAAGGGAGAAGGAAGGAAATACCTCCTTCCCGAAATACTGCTGGGAGTTCCACTGATAAATTACATGCCCTAGGAATGAAGACAGTTGCAGAGTGGTATCAGTAGAGGGAAAAACTAAAGTGAGGAGAAAAAATATGCCATTGCAGACTGGGTTTATCCATGGATGGCCAAGGCCATTTCTCTGGTGGGCCTGCAGTCAGCATTCACAGAAACAATATTCTAATTGGAATGTCAAGCAGTGAGGCACAGGGAGAGAAAGACAGTAGCCAGAAGATGGCAACGCAGGTGAGCAAGGTCAAGGCAGCTGAAGATCCCCATTAAGTTAGATAACTTATTTATTTATTTTTTTATTTTTTTGAGACAGGGTCACCCAGGCTGGAGTGCAGTGGCATGACCACAGCTTACTGCAACTTCTGCCTCCCAGGCTCCAGCAATCCTCCCACCCCAGCCTCCTGAGTAGCTGGGACTACAGGTGCACACCACCACACCTGGTTAATTTTTGTGGGCTTTTTTTTGTAGAGACAGGGTTTTGTCATGTCACCCAGGCTGGTCTCGAACTCCTGAGCTCAAGCCATCCACCTGCCTCAGCCTCCCAGGGTGCTGGGATTACAGGCACGAGCAACCATGCCCGACCCTAGAGCTTCTTAATTCAAGGGTACTCCCACTAATTTGCATCCCTTCCTCTTCCTTTTTGCTGGGGCTGAGGATGTTGCTCTGGTGTGGCCAGTGGGGCTGGGGAGCCAAGGTGTGGCTTGAGCACAGCTGGGAGATGGGTTACATACAGGCAAACTGAGCAAATAGGTAAATATACTGAGCATGCTAGGACCCAAATTTCTCACTGTTGTAGAAGGCAGTTGCCAACGTTGAATGGGAGAGGCTAAAATAAACCCTGTGGTGTGAGATTAGAATTGAAGGCATCAGCATCAAATGCACAGGTTCTAATATAGAAGCAGGTGCACACACAGCTATAGAGGCATATATGTAGAAGCAGGTGCACACACAGCTATAGAGACATATACACGTATGTTTATACACACATACATTTCTTAGCTCTCTCAGCCAAGGCAATCTGGAAGCAATGACACCGAGCAGCAATGAGCATACTTGGTTTCTAAATGTCATCCTCCACCAAAGGAACAAGAAATGCCTGGGGAAATGGACGACTCCAGGGCTGGGATACAAAAGTACAGGATAAGCCTAGTATATTTTATTGTGCCAGAGAGGAAGGAGGTGCTCAAAAAATGATAGTGGCATGTAAAAAGGATGAAGAGCCAGCTTTAAGAGGCTCCCACTGGCCAAGTCAGGGACAATTTGAGTACTAAAATAACAACGACAAATCCTGGAAGGAAAAACAGACACTAATGGAAAAACTGGTGAAGTTCAAACACGGTGTGCAGGTTATTAAATAGTAATGTACCAATGTTAACTTGCCAGTTTTGACAACTCTGCTGTGGTTATATAAGATGTCAACATCAGGGGAAGTTGGGTGAAGGGGAACATAAGAAATCTGTACTATTTGTGAAATTTTCCTATAGGTATACATTTATTCCAAAATACAGTAAAAATAAAAGAGATAGTGATGCCTACAACCTACTGAATAAAATATAAAAATCCATGAGTCCATGCTGACATAGACATAAGGGGGAGAAGTGACAGCTTTTCTTAAAGTAGAATGCCAACTGATAAACGCAGAAGAAATGATGTAGCTAGAAAAATCACCATTTGACTGGGCGCGGCAGCTCATGCCTGTAATCTCAACATCTAGGGAGGCCGAGGTGGGCAGATCACTTGAGGTCAGGAGTTCCAAACCAGCCTGGCCAACATGGTGAAACCCCGTCTCTACTAAAAATACAAAAAAATTAGCTGGGCATGGTGGCGAGCATCTATAATCCCAGCTACTTGGGAGGCTGAGGCAGGAGAATCACTTGAACCCAGGAGCCGAGATTATGTCACTGCACTCCAGCCTGGGCGACAGAGCAAGACTCTGCCTCAAAAAAAAAAAAAAGAAGAAAAATCATCATTGTCAATCATCTTAGTAATAAATTACATGATAAGTGAAAGATGAGGAAAAGGATATTGATAAAGTTTCAAGGTTTCTCCCAACACTTATTAATAAATAGAGATACCCAGTAGAGACAACATCTACACCAAGTAATAAAAACGAACATCATAGGCTGGCCGTGGTAGCTCACGCCTGTAATCTCAGCACTTTGGGAGGCCAAGGCGGGTGGATCACCTGAAGTCAGGAGTTCAAGACCATCCTGACCAACATGGCAAAACCCTGTCTCTACTAAAAAAAAGACAAAAATTAGCTGGGTGCAGTGGCGGGTACCTGTAATCCCAGCTACTCAGGAGGCTGAGGCAGGAGAATTGCTTGAGCCCAGGAGGTGGAGGTTGCAGTGAGTGGAGATCGCACCACTGCACTCCAGCCTGGGGAATAGAGTGAAACGACTCTGTCTCAAAAAAAAAAAAAAAAAAAAAAAGAACATCACATCACAAGTTTTGGGATAAACTGGCATTCTGTGCCTCCTGATATGAATTCCTAGGAACACAGGACCACTTCTGCATAAATCATAAATAATGAGGAAACATCAGACAAACCCAAACTGAGGGAAATTCCAGAAAGTAATTGGCCAATCCTCTTCAAAAATGTCAAGGTCATGAAAGACAAAGAAAGACTCAATTAGTCTTCTGGGTTGAAGGAGACCAAAGAGACATGACAACTAAATGCAACCTGTGATCCTAGAGCTATTTAAACAAACAAACAACCTGCGATCTGAGAGCTATTCAAACAAATAAACTAACAACCTGTGATCCTAGGGCTATTCAAACAGGCCAACAAACAAGCAGATTGGGACAACTGCTGAAATGTGAGGAGGAGAGCATGGATGAAGCAGTAATACTGTATCACTGTGAATTCCCTGATGTTGATAGCTGTACTGTGGTTATGTGAGGGGTCTGGGATTAAGCAGTAATGTTGTATCAACGTTAATTTCCTGATGTGGACAGTTGTACTGTGGTTATGTAGAAACCTTGTTTCTAAGAAATATATATTGAAGTATTAAGGAGTAGTGGCGAATCTTGTCTGCAACTTGAGAATTCAAAGGTTCAGGAAAAAAGTACAGGTTGGGCACAGTGGTTCACGTCTGTAATCTCAACACTTTGGGAGGCCAGCAGATCACTTGAGCCCAGGAGTTTGAGACCAGCCCGAGCAACATGGTGAGACCCTGTCTCTACAAAAAAACAAAAATTAGACTGATGTGATGGCCTGTGCCTGTAGTCTCAGTTACTCTAGAGGCTGAAGTAGGAGGAGGGGAAGGGAGAGGAAGGGAGGGGAGGGGTGGGGAGGGGAGGGAGAAGAGAAAGGGAAAGAGAGAAAAAGAAAAAGAAGGAAGAGAAAAAAGAAAAGGAAAATGCATGCAGTGTCTGTGCATTACGTGTGTGGGGGAGATAACTATTAATGAGGAATCTGGATGAAGGCTATACAAGGGCTCTTTGTATAATTCTTATAATTCTTCTGTAAGCTTGAAATTAATTCAAAATAAACAACAATGGGCTCTCCCTCTCCCTCTCCTTCTCCCTCTCCCTCTCCCTACAGTCTCCCTCTCCCTCTCCCTACGGTCTCCCTCTCCCCACGGTCTCCCTCTCCCTCTCTTTCCACGGTCTCCCTCTGATGCCGAGCCGAAGCTGGACTGTGCTGCTGCCATCTTGGCTCACTGCAACCTCCCTGCCTGATTCTCCTGCCTCAGCCTGCCGAGTGCCTGCGATTGCAGGCGCGCGCTGCCATGCCTGACTGGTTTTCGTATTTTTTTGGTGGAGACGGGGTTTCGCTGTGTTGGCCGGGCTGGTCTCCAGCTCCTAACCGCGAGTGATCCGCCAGCCTCGGCCTCCCGAGGTGCCGGGATTGCAGACGGTGTCTGGTTCACTCAGTGCTCAATGGTGCCCAGGCTGGAGTGCAGGGGCGTGATCTCGGCTCGCTACAACCTCCACCTCCCAGCCGCCTGCCTTGGCCTCCCAAAGTGCCCAGAGTGCAGCCTCTGCCCGGCCGCCACCCCGTCTAGGAAGTGAGGAGCGTCTCTGCCTGGCCGCCCATCGTCTGGGATGTGAGGAGCCCCTCTGCCTGGCTGCCCAGTCCGGAAAGTGAGGAGCGTCTCTGCCCGGCCCCCATCCCATCTAGGAAGTGAGGAGCGCCTCTTCCCGGCCGCCATCCCATCTAGGAAGTGAGGAGCGTCTCTGCCCGGCCGCCCATCGTCTGAGATGTGGGGAGCGCCTTTGCCCCGCCGCCCCGTCTGGGATGTGAGGAGCGCCTCTGCCCGGCCGCGACCCCGTCTGGGAGGTGAGGAGCGTCTCTGCCCAGCCGCCCCATCTGAGAAGGGAGGAGACCCTCTGCCCGGCAACCGCCCCGTCTGAGAAGTGAGGAGCCCCTCCGCCCGGCAGCCGCCCCGTCTGAGAAGTGAGGAGCGTCTCCGCCGGGCAGCCACCCCGTCCGGGAGGGAGGTGGGGGGGTCAGCCCCCCGCCCGGCCAGCCGCCCCATCCGGGAGGTGAGGGGCGCCTCTGCCCGGCCGCCCCTACTGGGAAGTGAGGAGCCCCTCTGCCCAGCGCGTCTGGGACGTGTGCCCAAGAGCTTATTGAGAACGGGCCATGATGACAATGGCGGTTTTGTGGAATAGAAAGGCGGGAAAGGTGGGGAAAAGATTGAGAAATCGGATGGTTGCCGTGTCTGTGTGGAAAGAAGTAGACATGGGAAACTTTTCATTTTGTTCTGTACCAAGAAAAATTCTTCTGCCTTGGGATCCTGTTGATCTGTGACCTTACCCCCAACCCTGTGCTCTCTGAAGCATGTGCTGTGACCACTCAGGGTTAAATGGATTAAGGGCAGTGCAAGATGTGCTTTGTTAAACAGATGCTTGAAGGCAGCATGCTCGTTAAGAGTCATCACCACTCCCTAATCTCAAGTACCCAGGGACACAAACACTGCGGAAGGCCTCAGGGTCCTCTGCCTAGGAAAACCAGAGACCTTTGTTCACTTGTTTATCTGCTGACCTTCCCTCCACTATTGTCCTATGACCCTGCCAAATCCCCCTCTGTGAGAAACACCCAAGAATGATCAATAAAAATAAAAATAAAAATAAAATAAAATAATCAACAATGGTAATTAGTTTACAGACAGATGCTAGGCTCTAGAAAAGCATGAGTTCTAGTCTAACAAAAGTTATTAGAGGGAACTCAGGAGAATGGGCAGATATGGAGTCACCAGTAACTTCCCTGATGGAGAACGCCATAGAATGGGGTAAAGAAAGTGCCTATGTAGAAATTTCTTTTGCAAGAGTCAGCCAGAGGAAATCACTAAATGCCAAGGGTAGAAGACAGACTAACCTCCTCTTTGAACATAAATAAAAATTGAGAAAGCCATTTAAAGGATGTAAGGACGGCTTAGCCCAACCTGCTAGTGGCCATCCCCACTTCCTGCCTCCTCCCTGAGTACTGGCTCTGCAGTCCTCCTACTGCTACTTGGCTTTTGGCTGGGGCAGATGCTGCCGGAACTTTCCCTTGGCAGGTGGGAGGCTGGGGAGATGAGAAGGTGGACCCCATGCCAGGCTCAAGAGAAATCTGGCCACACTGACAAGGCCACCCACCCACATAGGAGTCCTGAAAAAGATGAGAGGGATGGCAGGGCAGGCACTGTTCCTGAGCACCATTTACTGTGTGCTGAAGGTGAAAATGCCACCTCTTCTCCTCCTCGCCACAAAGTCCATGAGGTCGGCCTTATGATCCTCACAGTGTAGAGGGGCTAGCTAGGAGCATGCTCAAGGTCCCAGCCTAGCAAGCGCGAAGCCTCACATCTAGGTATGTCTGGGATCAGGCCCACGCTCTTTCCACCACACTGTGTTGCGTCTCTGTCATCTGGGAAGTTATGAATGGTCTCATGCTTTCTGAGTTAGAGCTACAGCAAAAGTAGTAATGTGCACAAAACCAGTCCCCACCTGAGTTCCTTCTCCAGCCTCAGGATTCTTTGAAGGGAAGAAGCAGTTCCTAGAACTCCTTGAAATTACACTCAAAATAGTGTGTGCATGATATGGATTTTTTTGACAAGAGCGTCGATGCTTTCCATTGGGTTCTTAAAAAGGATCTATGACTTTAAAATGGTTAATAACGAGTGCGTTGGGCATTATTTTGTCTGACTATCTCTCTTGACAGATAAGGAAATGGAGTTCTTTGAACTCTATTTTCTACTTTGAGTTACAGTGTTTATTCTGCAGGAACAGCAGCACAGCCTGCGCAGTATCTGCTCCTTCCTTAGTGCTGCGGAAACTTCCTAGTGAGGCCAAACAGCAGGGTAAGTGGCCAGCACTTCATTTTTCACAGGAAAATGGAGAGTCCCCAAGGAAGGGAGGCCTGGCTCCTTGCCCAAAGTATCATGAACAATGAGTATACTTTGTATAAATCAAGGCCATGTGAAAAGAGTGGATGCCAGAATTACAATAACTCAGAAAAATGACCCTTTAAACCAGGTAGGTTTTGGGAAAGGATGTGGCTACCTCAGACATGTGCTTTAAACCCTGGGCCTTGGCTGGGCGCGGTGGCTCATGCCTGTAATCCCAGCACTTTGGGAGGTGGAGGTGGGCTGACCTCTTAAGCCCAGGAGTTCGAGACCAGCCTGGGCAACATGGCAAAACTGCGTCTCTACAAAAAATACAAAAATTAGCCAGGTGTGGTGGTGTGTGCCTGTAGTCTCAGCTACTTGAGAGGCTGAGTAGGAAAGACTGCTGAAACCCAGGAGGTTGAGGCTACAGTGAGTCCTGATCACGCCTCTGTACTCCATCTTAGCTGACACTGAGACCCCGTCTCAAAAATAAATAAATAAAAATAAACCCTGGACCCAGTAACTTTTAAGCCTTTTAAAACGAAAAATTTGGGTTAAGAGAAGATGGGGCTTTGGCTGAAAAGAGTCATCCAGGGGGGTTCCTCAAAGACCTGTGACTCTAATAGGCAAATAACCAATCCTTTTTCCTGCCCCTCAGGGGTGTCTTAGTAACTTCCTGGAGGCAAACTGTGAATGTAGAAGACAGGGTGCTCTCAAGGACAAAGAGGCAGAAGTCCCCACTGTACCTCGGTGTGCCTGCTGGGCACGTGCCCACTGGGCAAGAGCAAGGGCACTACTGGGTCTTTGCAAGGCAAATGACGGCAAGGCAACTTGCCTTTGGTGGTGGGCTGATGGGGAGACTTCCATTTGATGATGGAGAAGCTACTGGGCAAGTTCATTTTCTGAGATTTTAATATGAAGTACTTTGTAATCGGGCATGAAAAGCATAGAAGCAGTCCATAAAATCACGTGAGTGAATAATACAGTTCCATGTGAAGTTTCTAATTGAAACATTGTCTTACTGTTACGGTTTAAGAAACATGTTTGAAACTAAGAATGTGCTCACCCATGATAGAAGCATTAAAAACAAGGGGAGGGGTGAAGTGCAATCAGACCTAAATGCGTAAATGCAACCCCAGAGAGCCTCCCTAAAAACCTAATACGTTCCCAGAGAACTTCCCTCAGAACCTAACGCGTTCCCAGAGAACTTCCCTCAGAACCTCAATGCGTTCCCAGAGAATGTCCCTCAGAACCTAATGTGTTCCCAGAGAATCTCCCTCAGAACCTAATGCGTTCCCAGAGAACCTTCCTCAGAACCTCAATGCATTCCCAGAGAACTTCCCTCAGAACCTAATGCATTCCCAGAGAAATTCCCTCAGGATCTAATGTGTTCCAGGGAACCTCCCTCAGAACCTCAATGCGTTCCCAGAGAACCTCCCCCAGAATCTAATGCTTTCCCAGAGAACCTCCCTCAGGACCTAGTGCGTCCCAGAGACCTTCCCTCAGAACCTAATGCGGTCCCAGAAGACTTCCCTCAGGACCTAATGCGTTCCTAGAAAACTCTCAGAACCTAATGCGTTCCCAGAGAACTTCCCTCAGAACCTAATGCATTCGCAGCGAACCTCCCTGAGACCCTAATGCGTTCCCAGAGAAATTCCCTTAGGACCTAAATGTGTTCCCAGAGAACTTCACTCAGAACCTAATGCATTCGCAGAGAACCTCCCTCAGAACCTAATGCGTTCCCAGAAAACCTCCCTCACAACCTAACGCGTTCTCAGAGAACTTCACTCAGGACCAAATGAGTTCCGAAAAACCACCCCAGAACCTCAATGTGTTCCCAGAGAACCTCCCTCAGAACCTAATGAGTTTCCAAAGAACCTCCCTCAGAACCTAATGTGTTCACAGAGAACCTCCCTCAAACCTAAATGGTTCCCAGAGAACCTCTCTCAGAACCTAATGTGTTCCCAGACAATCTGCCTCATAACCTAATGCGTTCTCAGATAACTTCCCTGAGAACCTCAATGCATTCCCAAAGAACTTCCCTCAGAACCTAACGCTTTCCCAGACAACCTCCCTCAGGACCTAATGCATTCCCAGAGAATCTCCCTCAGAACCTAATGCATTGCCAGAGAACCTCCCTCAGAACCTCAATGCATTCCCAGAAAACATACCTCAGAACCTAATGCATTCCCAGAGAATCTCCCTCAGCACCTAATGTGTTCCCAGAGAACCTCCCTCAGGAGCTAATGCATTCCCACAGAACCTCCTCCAGCACCTAATGCGTTCCCAGAGAACCTCCCACAGACCTCAATGCATTCCCAGAGAACTTCCCACAGAACCTAATGTGGTCCCAAAGATCCTCCCTCAGAATCTAATGCGTTCCCAGAAAAATTTCTTCAGAACCTAATGCATTCCCAGAGAACCTCCCTCAGGACCTCCATGCGTTCCCACAGAACCTCCCTCAGAACCCAATACGTGCCCAGAGAACCTCCCTCAGAACCTCAGTGCATTTCCAGAGAACCTCCCTCAGAACCCAATATGTGCCCAGAGAACCTCCCTCAGAACCTCAGTGCATTCCCAGAGAACCTCCCTCAGAACCTAAAGCGTTCACAGAGAACCTCCCTCAGAACCTAATGCGTTCCCAGAAAACCTCCCTCAGAACCTCAATGCTTTCCTAGAGAACCTCCCTCAGAACCTCAATGACTTAGCAGAGAACCTCCCTCAGGACCTCAATGCATTCCCAGAAACCTCGCTCAGGATCTAGTGCGTTCCCAGAGAACCTCTCAGAGAACCTAAAGCATTCCCAGAGAACCTCCCTCAGAACCTAATGTGTTCCCAAAGAACTTCCCTCAGACCTAATGCTTTCCCAGAAAACCTCCTTCAGAACCTAATGCATTTCCAGAGAACTTCCCTCAGGACGTCAATGCGTTCCCAGAGAACCTCCCTCAGAACCTAATCTTTCCCAGAGAACCTCTGTCAGAACTCAGTGAGTTCCCAGAGAACCTCCCTCAGAACCACAATGCATTCCTAGAGAATCTCCCACAGAACCTCAATGAGTTACCACAGAACCTCCCTCAGGACCTCAATGCGTTCCCAGAGAACATCCCTCCAAACCTAATGCGTTACCACAGAGCCTCCCTCAGAACCTAATGCGTTCCCAGAGAACCCCCAACAGAATCTCAGTGCATTACCAGAAAACCTCCGTCAGGACCTAATGCGGTCCCAGAGAACATCCCTCAGAACCTAATGCGTTCCCAGAGATCCTCCCTCAGAATCTAATACGTTCGCAGAGAAACTCCCTCAGAACCTAATGCATTCCCAAAGAACTTCCTTTAGGACCTCAATGCGTTCCCAGAGAATCTCCCTCACAAAGTAATGCATTTCGAGGCAACCTCCCTCAGAACCTCAGTGCATTACCAGAGAACCTTCCTAAGCACGTAATTCATTCCCAGAGAACTTCCCCCAGAACCTAATGCGTTCCCAGAGATCCTCCCTCAGAATTTAATGCGTTCCCAGAGAAATTCCCTCAGAACCTAATGCATTCCCAGAGAACCTCCCTCAGAATCTCAGTGCATTACCAGAGAACCACCCTCAGGACCTAATGTGGTCCCAGAGAACATCCCTCAGAACCTAATGCGTTCCCAAAGATCCTCCCTCAGGACCTAATGCGTTCCCAAAGATCCTCCTTCAGAATCTAACACACTCACAGAGAAATTCCCTCAGAACATAATGCGTTCCCAAAGAACTTCCCTTAGGACCTCAATGCGTTTTCAGAGAACCTCCCTCAGAACCTAATGCGTTCCCAGGCAACCTCCCTCAGAACCTCACTGCATTACCAGAAAACCTTCCTAAGCAGGTAATTCTTTCCCAGAGAAATTCCCTCAGAACCTAATGCGTTCCCAAAGAATCTCCCTCAGAATCTAATGCATTCCTAGAGAACATCCCTCAGAACCTGATGCGTTCCCAGAGATCCTCCCTCAGAATTTAATGCGTTCCCAGAGAAATTCTCTCAGAACCTAATGCGTTCCCAGAGATGCTCCCTCAGAATTTAATGCGTTCCCAGAGAAATTCTCTCAGAACCTAATGCGTTCCTAGAGAACCTCCCTCAGAACCTCAGTGCGTTTCCAGAGAAGCTCCCTCAGAACGTAATGCATTCCCAGACAACTTCCCTCAGAACCTAATTCCTTCCCAGAGAACCTCTCTCAGAACCTAATGCATTCCTAGAGAACTTCCCTCAGAACCTAATGCGTTCCCAGAGATCCTCCCTCAGAATTTAATGCGTTCCCAGAGAAATTCCCTCAGAACCTCAGTGCGTTCCCAGAGAACCTCCCTCAGAACCTCAGTGCGTTTCCAGAGAAGCTCCCTCAGAAGCCAATGCATTCCCAGACAACTTCCCTGAGAACCTAATTCCTTCCCAGAGAACCTCCCTCAGAACCTCAGTCAATTACCAGAGAACCTCCCTCAGAACCTAATGCGATCCCAGAGAACATCCCTCAGAACCTAATGCGTTCCTAGAGAACCCCCAACAGAATCTCAGTGCATTACCAGAAAACCTCCCGCAGGACCTAATGCGGTCCCAGAGAACATCCCTCAGAACCTAATGCGTTCCCAGAGAACCTCCCTCAGAATGGAATGCGTTTGTAGAGAACTTCCTTCAGAACCTAAGGCGTTCCCAAAGATCCTCCCTCAGAACCTAATGCGTTCCCAGAGAACCCCCAACAGAATCTCAGTGGGTTACCAGAAAACCTCCCTCAGGACCTAATGCGGTCCCAGAGAACCTCCCTCAGAACCTCAGTGCATTACCAGAGAACCTTCCTCAGGACCTAATGCGGTCCCAGAGAACATCCCTCAGAACCTAATGCGTTCCCAGAGAACCTCCCTCAGAACCTAATGCGTTCCCAGAGAATCTCCCTCAGAACCTAATGCGTTCCCAGAGAACCTCCCTCAGAACCTAATGCGTTCCCAGAGAACCTCCCTCAGAACCTAATGTATTCCTAGAGAACTTCCCTCAGAACCTAATGCGTTCCCAGAGATCCTCCCTCAGAATTTAATGCGTTCCCAGAGAAATTCCCTCAGAACCTAATGCCTTCCCAGAGAACCTCCCTCAGAATCTCAGTGCATTACCGGAGAACCACCCTCAGGACCTAATGTGGTCCCAGAGAACATCCCTCAGAACCTAATGCGTTCCCACAGAACTTCCCTCAGAACCTCAGTGCGTTTCCAGAGAACCTCCCTCACAATCTCAGTGCATTCCCAGAGAACTTCCCTCAGGACCTCAATGTGTTCTCAGAGATCCTCCCTCATGACCTAATGTGTTCCCAGAGAACCTCCCTCAGAACCTAATGCATTCCGAGAGAACTTCCCTCAGAACCTAATTCCTTCCCAGAGAACCTCCCTCAGAACCTCAGTGCATTACCAGAGAACCACCCTCAGGACCTAATGCGTTCTCAGAGAACCTCCCTCAGAACCTAATTCCTTCCCAGAGAACCTCCGTCAGAACCTGAGTGCATTAACAGAGAACCACCCTCAGGACCTAATGCGTTCCCAGGGAACCTCCCTCATAACCTAATTCCTTGCCAGAGAACCTCCCTCAGAACCTCAGTGCATTACCAGAGAACCACCGTCAGGACCTAATGTGGTCCCAGAGAACATCCCTCAGAATCTAATGCATTCCCAGAGAACCCCCAACAGAATCTCAGTGGGTTACCAGAAAACCTCCCTCAGGACCTAATGCGGTCCCAGAGAACCTCCCTCAGAACCTCAGTGCATTACCAGAAAACCTCCCTCAGGACCTAATGCGGTCCCAGAGAACATCCCTCAGAACCTAATGCGTTCCCAGAGAACCTCCCTCAGAACCTAATGTGTTCCCAGAGAACCTCCCTCAGAACCTAATTCCTTCCCAGAGAAGCTCCCTCAAAACCTAATGCATTCCCAGACAACTTCCCTCAGAAACTAATGCGTTCCCAGAGATCCTCCCTCAGAATTTAATGCGTTCCCAGAGAAATTCCCTCAGAACCTAATGCGTTCCCAGAGAACCTCCCTCAGAACCTCAGTGCGTTTCCAGAGAACCTCCCTCACAATCTCAGTGAATTCCCAGAGAACTTCCCTCAGGACCTCAATCTGTTCCCAGAGATCCTCCCTCAGGACCTAAGGTGTTCCCAGAGATCCTCCCTCAGAACCTAATGCGTTCCCAGAGAACCTCCCTCAGAACCTAATGCATTCCCAGAGAACTTCCCTCAGAACCTAATTCCTTCCCAGAGAACCTCCCTCAGAACCTCAGTGCATTGCCAGAGAACCTCCCTCAGGACCTAATGTGTTCCCAGGGAACCTCCCTCAGAACCTAATGTGTTCCCAGAGAACCTCCCTCAGGACAGAATGCGTTCCTAGAGAACTTCCCTCAGAACCTAATGCGTTCCCAGAGATCCTCCCTCAGAATCTAATGCGTTCGCAGAGAAATTCCCTCAGAACCTGATGCATTACCAGAGAACTTCCCTTAGGACCTCAATGCGTTCCCAGAGAACCTCCCTCAGAACCTAATGCATTCCAAGAGAACCTCCCTCAGAACCTAATGCATTCCAAGAGAACCTCCCTCAGAACCTCAACGCATTCGCAGAGATCAAGACCTCTACGCGTTCCCAGAGACCCTCCCTCAAGACCTAATGGGTACCCAGAGAACCTCCCACAGAACCTAATGCGTTCCCAGATAACCTCCCTCAGAACTTAATGCATTCCCAGAGACCTTCCCTCACAACCTAATGCGTTCCCACAGGACTTCACTCAAGACCTAATGTGTTCCCAGAGAACTTCCCTCAGGACCTAATGCATTCCCAGAGAACCTCCCTCAGGACCTAATGCGTTTCCAGAGAACCTCCCTTAAAAGCTAGTGCGTTCGCAGAGAACCTCCCTCAGAACCTAATGCATTCCCACAGATCTTCACTCAGGACCTGATGCGTTCCCAGAGAACTTCCCTCAGGATCTCAATTCGTTTCCAGAGAACCTCCCTCAGGACCTCAATGCGTTCCCAGAGAACCCCTCTCAGAACCTAATGGGTTCCCAGAGAACTTCCCTAAGAACCTAATTCGTTCCCAGAGAACCTCCCTGAGAACCCTGAGGTCACAGAGGACCTTCCTCAGAACCTAATGCATTCCCAGAGAACTTCCCTCAAAACCTAATGCATTCCCTGAGAATCTCCCTCAGAACATAATGCGTTCCCAAAGAAGCTCCCACACAACCTACTGCGTTCCCAGAGAACCTCCCTCAGAACCTGAATGCATTCCCAGAGAACTTCCCTCAGAACCTAAGGCATTCCCAGAGAACTTCCCTCAGAACCTAATGCGTTCCCAGAGAACCTCCCTAAGGACGTAATGCATTCACAGAGGACTTCCCTCAGAACCTAATGCATCCCCGGAAAACCTTCCTCAGAACCTAATGCGTTCCTAGAGAACTTTCCTCAGAACTTAAATGCGTTCCCAGAGATCCTCCCTCAGAATCTAATGCGTTCCCACAGAAATTCCCTCAGAACCTACTGCGTTCCCAGAGAACTTCCCTTAGGACCTCAATGCGTTCCCAGAGAACCTCCCTCAGAACCTCAGTACATTCGCAGACAACCTCCCTTGGAACCTCAGTGCATTCCCAGATAACCTCCCTGAGGACCTCAATGTGTTCCCAGAGACCCTCCCTCAGAACCTAATGTGTTCCCAGAGAACCTCCTTCAGAACCTAATGCGTTCCCAGAGAACCTCCCTCAGAATCTAATGCATTCCCAGAGAACCTCCCTCAGAACCTCAGTGCAATCCCAGAGAACCTGCCTTCAAACCTAATGCGTTCCCAGAAAACATCCCTCAGGAACTAATGAGTTCCAGGAGAACTTCCCTCAGAACCTAATGTGTTCCCAGAGAACCTCCCTCAGAACCTAATGCATCCCAGAGAACATCACTCAGAACCTAATGTGTTCCCAGAGAACCTCCCTCAGAACCTCAGTGCATTCTGAGAACCTCCCTCAAAACCTCAGTGTGTTCCCAGAGAACCTCCCTGAGGACCTAATGCATTCCCAGAGAACCTCCCTCAGAACCCAATGTGTCCCCAGAGAACCTCCCTCACAACCCAGTGCGTTCCCAGAGAACCTCCCTCAGGACCTCAATGCGTTCCCACAGAACTTCCCTCATCATCTAATGCATTCCCAAAGAACCTCCCTCAGAACCTAGTGCATTCCCAGAGAACATCACTCAGGACCCAATGTGTTCCCAGAGAACCTCCACAGAAGCTCAATGCGTTCCCAGAGAACCTCCTTCAGACGCTAATGTGTTCCCAGGGAACTTCCCTCAGAACCTCAACGCAGTCCCAGAGAAACTCCCTCAGACCCTAACGTGTTCCCAGAGAACCTCCCTTAGAACCCAATGCGTTCCCAGAGAACCTCCCTCAGAACCTAATGCGTTCCGAGATAACCTCCCTCAGAATCTCAATGCGTTCCCAGAGAACTTCTCTTAGAACCTAATGCGTTTCCAGAGAACCTCCCTCAGAATCTCCATGCATTCTCAGAGGACTTCCCTCAGAACCTAATGTGTTCCCAGAGAACTTCCCTCAGGACCTAATGCGTTCCCAGAGAACTTCCCTCAGGACCTAATGCGTTCCCAGAGAACCTCCCTCAGGACCTAATGTGTTTCCAGAGAACCTCCCTTAGAACCTAATGCGTTCCTAGAGAACTTCCCTCAGAATCTAAAGTGTTCCCAGAGAACCTCCCTCAGAACCTCAGTGCATTAGCAGAGAACCTCCCTCAGAACCTAATGCGTTCCCACAGAACTTCCCTCACAACCTAATGCGTTCCCAAAGAACTTCCCTCAGGACCTCAATGCGTTCCCAGAGAATCTCCCTCAGAACCTAATGCGTTCCCAAAGAACTTCCCTCAGAACCTAATATGTTCCCAGAGAACCTCCCTCAGAACCTCAGTGAGTTCCCAGAGAACCTCCTTCGGAACCTCAGTGCATTCCCAGAGAACCTCCCTCAGAACCTCAGTGTGTTCCCAGAGAACCTCCCTGAGGACATAATGCATTCCCACAGAACCTCCCTCAGAACCTCAATGCGTTCCCAGAGACCTTCCCTCACGACCTAATGCGTTCCCAGAGAACTTCCCCCAGGACCTAATGCATTCCCAGAGACCTCTCTCAGAACCTCAATGCGTTCCCAGAGAACCTTCCTCAGGACCTAATGCGTTCCCAGAGAACCTCCCTCAGAACTTCAATACATTCCCAGAGAACTTTCCTCAGAACCTAATGCGTTCCCAGGGAACTTCCATCAGAACCTAATGCATTCCCAGATAACCTCCCTCAGAACCTGAATGCGTTCCCAAAGAACCTCCCTCAGAACCTAATGTGTTCCCGGAGAACCTCACTCAGGACCTCAATGCGTTCCCAGAGAACTCCCTTCTGAACCAAATGCGTTCCCAGAGAATCTCCCTCAGAACCTAATGGGTTCCCATAGAACCTCCCTCAGAATCTAATGTGTTCCCAGAGAACTTCCCTCAGGACCTCAATGCATTCCCAGAGAACCTCCTTCAGAACCTCAATGCGTTCCCAGAGAACTTCCCTCAGAACCTCAATGCGTTCCCAGAGAACCTCCATCAGGACCTCATGCGTTCCCAGGGAACCTCCCTCAGAACCTCAATGCATTCCCAGAGAACTTCCCTCAGTACCTAATGCGTTCCCAGGGAACCTCCCTCAGGACCTAATATGTTCCCAGATAACTTCCCTCAGTACCTAATGCATTCCCCAAGAAGCTCCCTCAGAACCCAATGTGTTTCCAGAGATCTTCCCTCAGAACCTCAGTGTGTTCCTGAAGAACTTCCCTCAGGACTTTCCTGCAGCCGCTGTTGCTCTCCCCATGGGAGCCACCTTCTGGTCCCTTCCGAGTGCGTTCTTTAGACTGTGAGGCTTCCTCTGGGAGCCCAGGCCAGTCTGTCTCCAGTCATCTCGTTACAATCATCTTGACCTTTCCAAAACCTGCCTTCCAACGTGGAAGGGCTTGGCTGCGGACAAGGACGCAGGGATGAGGAGGAGTCTTCCTCCTTTTCTAATGCCCCCTCACGCACACAACGGACACTGGAGCACGAACACAGTCTTCGGCTGTTAGTTTGGAAGTCTTTGGGATTTTTTTAAAAACAGGGTGGGAGGGAAGAAACCTGGCCGCAGTGAGATGCTTTATAAAAATATTTGGAGGCTACAAGTTTGTGAAAAGCATATAGTATATTTTGTTTGCTTTTCTTTTCTTTTTTTCTTTTGAGACGAAGTCTCTGTCACCAAGCTGGGTGGCATAGTGACGGCTAATTGCAGCCTCTGCCTCCTGGGCTCCAGTGATTTTCCCACCTCAGCCTCTCGAGTAGCTGGGACTACAGGTGTGCATCACCACACCTGACTAGTTTTTTTAAAAAAATTATTTATAAAGATGAGGTTTCAGCATGTTGCCCAGGCTGGTCTTGAATCCTGGGCTCAAGAGCTCCTCCTACCTTGGCCTCCCAAAGTGCTGGGATTACAGGTGTGACCCACTGTACCTGGCCACGTGAAAAGCATATACTGTATTATATAGATGATCCATAAAATAAAATCAGAATCCATGAGTTCATACTGATATATAAACAAATAGGGGAGAGGGAAAATTCTTCCATATAGTAGAACTCCAATTAGTAAATGTAGAAGAAATGATGAAAATAGACAATCGACATTTGGCAAATGCCACAGAAACAACGCTTCCGTCAGGAATCAATCAAGGGATGCGAAATGAGTGGGCAAAAGTTTGATGAGAGCAGGATATTTACAAAGTATCATCCCAT
Organism: Homo sapiens; assembly: GCF_000001405.40. Lineage (NCBI taxonomy): Eukaryota > Metazoa > Chordata > Mammalia > Primates > Hominidae > Homo > Homo sapiens. The sequence continues at coordinate 585,099 of NC_000017.11, forward strand.
AAGATACTTATTAATTACCAGGAGAAAAATAGTAACTTCACATTGAAGACAGTTGGCAGGTACCACCTAAAGCAAGTAATCGAAGTCCCCAATAATGGGACAAATCAATGTGATGTGCCTCTTGACACAATGCACTGGGGATACAATGCCACTTTTATGGTGTTCTTGCCCAAAATTGATTTCATCAAGAAAAAACAAACAAAAACTGAGGACATTGTACAAAATACCTGGCCAGTACACACTGAGGTCGTGAAAGACAAAGAAAACTTGAGGAATGGCTGGGCAAGGTGGCTCATGCCTGTAATTCCAGCACTTTGGGAGGCTCAAGTGGGTGGATCATTTGAGCCCAGGAGTTCCAGACCAGCCTGGGCAACACAGGGAGACAGAATCTCTACTAAAAATAGAGGGTGGCATGTGCCTGTGGTCCCAGCTACTTGGGAGACTGCAGTGGGAGGATTGCTTGAGCCCAGGAGATGGAGGATGCAGTAAGTCATAATCTCACCACTGCACCCCAGCCTGGGGGACAGCGTGAGACTCTGTCTCAAAAAAGGAGGGGAGGGGAGGGAATAAAAAGATGAGGAACTACTCAAGATTAAAGGAGACCAAGATCAAAGAGATCTGACAACGAAATGCATGATTATTGGGTCCTGGACCAGAAAAAGGGGCATTAATGGGACAGTATTACCTTCTCGATTTTGGTAACTCTGGTTGTTATGTAAGATGTTAACATTCTCTGAGGAGGGCATGTGAAAATTTTTTGTCCTATTTTTGTAACTTTTTTATAAGTCTAAATTATTTCAAAATAAAAGGATAAATTATACTTGAAAACATATATATTAGAGACTAGGCTTTCTTCCAATACCCAGTGCCTGACACTGTAAAGCTTTGTGGGCTGATATATGTCAGGGCTCAACACCCACATAGGAAGGGATCCCAATGTAGGGATCCACTGGGGACCTTATTAGGGGCAAACTCAGGCTCTGAGATTTATAGACACAATTAATGATAACATTCAAAAGATGTAAAAATACCCCTAATGGGTTTCTAGGGAGGGTCACAGGCATGCCACAACCATCTTTCAGCCCCGGAAGGAGCTGTGCGCTCCTAAGACCCAGTCATGACCAGAGCGGCGAGAAATGCAGGCAGAAAACAGCGAATGTTCCTCACTCACTTGTCTTGGGATTCGATATACACGTAGAGATGAGGCTCAAAACACTTGGAAACAATGCCATGAAATGGATTGTCTGGGGCTTTAGGCTTCTTTGGCTGTAAAAACAAAGAAAAATAAACCCCATACTTGAGTGATCTTTGCAAATGTTCAAGAATTTTTTTAAAAACATCATTTCAAAGTTCATTCCTAAGTCACAGATAAGAGAGTACTCAATGTAACCCAATACGATGGTTTCACCATTCACCCTGGCAGGTGAAGAAAAACCAGCTTTGTTAGCATAACTCACTTGCTCTGGACGATGAAAGACATACTGCTACCTGGATAACATATGTGTTTTGAATCTGGAAGCAAGTCATCATCTATCTGACTGGTGTTTTCCAGAATTTAAATCCCAGCTAATAATAGCACCTTGTATTTACACAGTGCTTTAGAATTTAAAAAGTGCTTTCACACAATCCAATTTTTGATAGCACTTTGATACCAACTAATATGTCACCTGCTCCTCACAATAATCCTTCATGTAGGTATGACTACTACTATTTTACACCTCAAGAAATGAGGACTCAGAGGTTCTCTAACCTGCCCCAACACATATGTAGACGTCTGCTTTTCTTAAACTAGAACTCTTTCTGTTATACCATTATTTTCCTGCAATGGTTCCCAGAATTTTTTGAATTCCATCAGTAAGAAAATGTAAGAAAAAGAAGAATGGACAACCAATAGAGGATTGTTAACTTTATTTTGCTACTTTCTATTCTTACCACGAGTTCCTAAAAAAAAAACAAATAAAGGGTTTTTTTGTTTGCTTTTTGAGACAGAGTCTCCCTCTGTCACCCAGGCTAAAGTGCAGTGGCGCCATCTCAGCTCACTGCAACCTGCACCTTCTGGACTCAAGTGATTCTTGTGTCTCAGCCTCCTAAGTAGCTGGGACTATAGGCACACGCCACCACACCGAGCTAATTTTTGTATTTTAAGTAGAGGTGGGGTTTTGCCATGTTGGCCAGGCTAGTCTCGAACTCTTGGCCTCAAGTGATCCACCCACCTCTACCTCCCAAAGTGCTGGGCTTATAGGCATGAGGCATGGCGCCCAGCCAGAAAATTGTATTTTATACCCCCAAATTTTATAAGAATAAAATAGCAGCATATAGGCAGTACTTTCTAAGAAAGGACAGTTGGTAACCTTACATCAGATAGATAGAGAGAGAGACAGGCAGGCAGGCAGGCAGACTATATTGTCTTTATTTTTTGCTTTAGGCCACTGCAACACTAGATGAGCGCTGGTTCCCAGGCTGTTACTTGGAAGCCACTGATAAAGAAGTCATATGACAGGCAAGTATTTTAAAACAATATTTGCCACTTAATTCCTTTCCAAACATCTAAAAAATAAGCAAAGATTTTCCTATGTATTACTTCTATTCCTAACAAATGTGAATTCTGTCTATTGCCAAATGTCTACAAAATGACCCTGAGCCAAACACACCATGCTGGGGTTGATACTAAATCATAATTTGCATGTAAATTGGCACCCACAACATACTTGTTAAATTGAACTACTCATATCTTATTTTTTAAAAACCCACTTTATTGAGGTATGATTGACATTTTAAAAGCCCTACATAATTAATGTATACATCTTGATGCGTTTGAGGATAAGTACACACCCACAAAGCCCTCACCACCATCAAGGCAGTAAGTGTATCCACCACCTCCCCAAGCCTCCTCCCACCCCTGTTGTTACGATTATTATTACTTGTGGTAAGAATGCTTGCTGGGCACGGTGGCTCACGCCTGTAATCCCAGCACTTTGGGAGGCCAAGGTGGGCGGATCACAAGGTCAGGAGTTCAAGACCAGCATGGCCAATATGGTGAAACCCTGTCTCTACTAAAAAAATACAAAAATTAGCAGGTTGTGGTGGTGTGCGCCTGTAGTCCCAGCTACTTGAGAGGCTGAGGTAGAAAAATTGCTTGAACCCAGGAGGTGGAGATGGCAGTGAGCCGAGATTGCACCACTGTACTCCAGCCTGGCGACAGAGTGAGACTCCATTTCAAAAACAAACAAACAAACAAACAAAAAAGAATACTTAACATAAGATCTACCCTCTTGAACTGCTTATATATTTTAATAAATACTGGAAGAGATAAGCCCTAATGACAGAAATGATAACTACCTATTTCTGGCCTTTAAAAAAATTTTTTTTTAAATAACACGTTGCAATGGTTAAAAACATCTGTAAAAACTGATTTGTAAAAAATGATCACTAAAAATTAAATGTCAACTTTAGACACATCTACTCAATCTTGTACTTAACCCTCTTCCCTTTTTACCTTTCAGGAGTTCCATGTCTTTCATTTTTTGGCAAGGTTTCTAGAAACTTTGGTCCTTCCTAAGAATAAATACAATCTGCACTGTTTTTACTCTTATCATCTGGAAGTCACTGCCAAAGCCAGGCCTTGGACTGAGCCCACAACCACACAAGCCTGGCTGATTGAGCTTGAATCTGCCGGATCTAGAATTCCACTTGAGTGCACAGATGTCCTGGGAGTTTTTCTGCATTTCCATTAGTTTAAGATGAAGGATCTATGATGGAGGATGAGGATTGTGAGGGGTGTCCTCACCCACTTGTCCTGTTTATTCCAAGTCAGTATCTTTTATTATTGATTCAATAAGATGACTTAAGTGAATAGAAAAATGTGATTTAATTTGTCTAACTCTATAGGACTAGATATCATGGATTCAGATTTGGAAAACATGGCTACTACAAACAGATATCTTTTTATTAATTAAATAATAATGATAAGTATTATAGCTATTCTTTTTATTTAATTTTTTTCTTCTTTTGAAGAAAATATTCACACTCTGCAGGATAACTTCTGGTAATTATACATGTGAATTTACATAATACAGAATGTTAACATTTAAAAAAATCAACGTGTATATTTTGCTTTTTTTTTAAATTTTGAACATGTATATTTTGTATTCAGCTTTACTGACTTACTAATTTATGTGTACTTTCCCAACTACTGACAATATTTTATCACTTTAAAATGGCTACATTATGAAAATCTTTAAAAGCCTATATATTATAGATTACTGTATGGATGTTAAATTTTCTGATTTTGATCTATGGTAATAGAATTGAATGCCCTTTTTCTTAAGAAATATATACTAAAATATTTAGGGGTAAAGGACATTATGTCTACAACTTACAAATTGTTCTAAAGGTCGGGGGGGAGTGGGGAGGAAATAATAAAGTTATATAGCAAAATGTTAACAATTGCTGAATCCAGAAGAAAGATATTTAGGAGCTCCTTGTAACTTTTCTCTTAGTTTGACATTATTTTAAAAAGAAAAAAAGTAAAGGATAACGTCAGAAAACTTGGAAAATGGGTACAGTGGCCTGGTGGAAAATTCCAGAGACCTCAATGGAGCCATCTTAAGAATGGCATATTGTCCCATTGATCTATATCTCTTGTTTTGGTACCAGTACCATGCTGTTTTGGTTACTGTAGCCTTGTAGTATAGTTTGAAGTCAGGTAGTGTGATGCCTCCAGCTTTGTTCTTTTGGCTCAGGATTGACTTGGCGATGTGGGCTCTTTTTTGGTTCCATATGAACTTTAAAGTAGTTTTTTCCAATTCTGTGAAGAAAGTCATTGGTAGCTTGATGGGGATGGCATTGAATCTGTAAATTACCTTGGGCAGTATGGCCATTTTCACGATATTGATTCTTCCTACTCATGAGAATGGAATGTTCTCCCATTTGTTTGTATCCTCTTTTATTTCACTGAGCAGTGGTTCGTAGTTCTCCTTGAAGAGGACCTTCACATCCCTTGTAAGTTGGATTCCTAGGTATTTTATTCTCTTTGAAGCAATTGTGAATGGGAGTTCACTCATGATTTGGCTCTCTGTTTGTCTGTTGTTGGTGTATAAGAATGCTCGTGATTTTTGTACATTGATTTTGTATCCTGAGACTTTGCTGAAGTTGCTTATCAGCTTAAGGAGATTTTGGGCTGAGATAATGGGGTTTTCTAGATATACAATCATGTCGTCTGCAAACAGGGACAATTTGACTTCCTCTTCTCCTAACTGAATACCCTTTATTTCCTTCTCCTGCCTAATTGCCCTGGCCAGAACTTCCAACACTATGTTGAATAGGAGTGGTGAGAGAGGGCATCCCTGTCTTGTGCCAGTTTTCAAAGGGAATGCTTCCAGTTTTTGCCCATTCAGTATGATATTGGCTGTGGGTTTGTCATAGATAGCGCTTATGATTTTGAGATACGTCCCATCAATACCTAATTTATTGAGAGTTTTTAGCATGAAGAGTTGTTGAATTTTGTCAAAGGCCTTTTCTGCATCTATTGAGATAATCATGTGGTTTTTGTCTTTGGTTCTGTTTATGTGCTGGATTACATTTATTGATTTGCGTATATTGAACCAGCCTTGCATCCCAGGGATGAAGCCCACTTGATCATGGTGGATAAGCTTTTTGATGTGCTGCTGGATTTGGTTTGCCAGTATTTTATTGAGGATTTTTGCATCAATGTTCATCAAGGATATTGGTCTAAAATTCTCTTTTTTGGTTGTGTCTCTGCCCGGCTTTGGTATCAGGATGATGCTGGCCTCATAAAATGAGTTAGAGAGGATTCCCTCTTTTTCTATTGATTGGAATAGTTTCAGAAGGAATGGTACCAGTTCCTCCTTGTACCTCTGGTAGAATTTGGCTGTGAATCCATCTGGTCCTGGACTCTTTTTCGTTGGTAAGCTATTGATTATTGCCACAATTTCAGCTCCTGTTATTGGTCTATTCAGAGATTCAACTTCTTCCTGGTTTAGTTTTGGGAGAGTGTATGTGTCGAGGAATTTATCCATTTCTTCTAGATTTTCTGGTTTATTTGCATAGAGGTGTTTGTAGTATTCTCTGATGGTAGTTTGTATTTCTGTGGGATCGGTGGTGATATCCCCTTTGTCATTTTTTATTGCATCTATTTGATTCTTCTCTCTTTTTTTCTTTATTAGTCTTGCTAGCAGTCTATCAATTTTGTTGATCCTTTCAAAAAACCAGCTCCTGGATTTGTTAATTTTTTGAAGGGTTTTTTGTGTCTCTATTTCCTTCAGTTCTGCTCTGATTTTCGTTATTTCTTGCCTTCTGCTAGCTTTTGAATGTGTTTGCTCTTGCTTTTCTAGTTCTTTTAATTGTGATGTTAGGGTGTCAATTTTGGATCTTTCCTGCTTTCTCTTGTGGGCATTTAGTGCTACAAATTTCCCTCTACACACTGCTTTGAATGTGTCCCAGAGATTCTGGTATGTTGCGTCTTTGTTCTCGTTGGTTTCAAAGAACATCTTTATTTCTGCCTTCATTTCGTTATGTACCCAGTAGTCATTCAGGAGCAGGTTGTTCAGTTTCCATGTAGTTGAGCGGTTTTGAGTGAGATTCTTAATCCAGAGTTCTAGTTTGATTGCACTGTGGTCTGAGAGATAGTTTGTTATAATTTCTTTTACATTTGCTGAGGAGAGCTTTACTTCCAACTATGTGGTCAATTTTGGAATAGATGTGGTGTGGTGCTGAAAAAAATGTATATTCTGTTGATTTGGGGTGGAGAGTTGATTTGGGGTGGAGAGTTCTGTAGATGTCTATTAGGTCCGCTTGGTGCAGAGCTGAGTTCCATTCCTGAGTATCCTTGTTGACTTTCTGTCTCATTGATCTGTCTAATGTTGACAGTGGGGTGTTAAAGTCTCCCATTATTAATGTGTGGGAGTCTAAGTCTCTTTGTAGGTCACTCAGGACTTGCTTTATGAATCTGGGTGCTCCTGTATTGGGTGCATATATATTTAGGATAGTTAGCTCTTGTTGAATTGATCCCTTTACCATTAAGTAATGGCCTTCTTTGTCTCTTTTGATCTTTGTTGGTTTAAAGTCTGTTTTATGAGAGACTAGGATTGCAACCCCTGCCTTTTTTTGTTTTCCATTTGCTTGGTAGATCTTCCTCCATCCTTTCATTTTGAGCCTATGTGGTGTCTCTGCCCGTGAGATGGGTTTCCTGAATACAGCACACTGATGGGTCTTGACTCTTTATCCAATTTGCCAGTCTGTGTCTTTTAATTGGAGCATTTAGTCCATTTACATTTAAAGTTAATATTGTTATGTGTGAATTTGATCCTGTCATTATGATGTTAGCTGGTGATTTTGCTCGTTAGTTGATGCAGTTTCTTCGTAGTCTTGATGGTCTTTACATTTTGGCATGATTTTGCAGTGGCTGGTACCGGTTGTTCCTTTCCATGTTTAGCGCTTCCTTCAGGAGCTCTTTTAGGGCAGGTCTGGTGGTGACAAAATCTCTCAGCAGTTGCCTGTCTGTGAAGTATTTTATTTCTCCTTCACTTATGAAGCTTAGTTTGGCTGGATATCAAATTCTGGGTTGAAAATTCTTTTAAGAATGTTGAATATTGGCCACCACTCTCTTCTGGCTTGTAGAGTTTCTGCCGAGAGATCTGCTGTTAGTCTGATGGGCTTCCCTTTGAGGATAACCCGACCTTTCTCTCTGGCTGCCCCTGACATTTTTTCCTTCATTTCAACCTTGGTGAATCTGACAATTATGTGTCTTGGTGTTGCTCTTCTCGAGGAGTATCTTTGTGGCGTTCTCTGTATTTCCTGAATCTGAATGTTGGCCTGCCTTGCTAGATTGGGGAAGTTCTCCTGGATAGATCAATGGAACAGAACAGAGCCCTCAGAAATAATGCCGCATATCTACAACTATCTGATCTTTGACAAACCTGAGAAAAACAAGAAATGGGGAAAGGATTCCCTATTTAATAAATGGTGCTGGGAAAACTGGCTAGCCATATGTAGAAAGCTGAAACTGGATCCCTTCCTTACACTTTATACAAAAATCAATTCAAGATGGATTAAAGACTTAAACGTTAGACCTAAAACCATAAAAACCCTAGAAGAAAACCTAGGCATTACCATTCAGGACATAGGCATGGGCAAGGACTTCATGTCTAAAACACCAAAAGCAATGGCAACAAAAGACAAAATTGACCAATGGGATCTAATTAAACTAAAGAGCTTCTGCACAGCAAAAGAAACTACCATCAGAGTGAACAGGCAACTACAAAATGGGAGAAAATTTTCGCAACCTACTCATCTGACAAAGGGCTAATATCCAGAATCTACAATGAACTCAAACAAATTTACAAGAAAAAAACAAACAGCCCCATCAAAAAGTGGGCAAAGGACATGAACAGACACTTCTCAAAAGAAGACATTTATGCAGCCAAAAAACACATGAAAAAATGCTCACCATCACTGGCCATCAGAGAAATGCAAATCAAAACCACGATGAGATACCATTTCACACCAGTTAGAATGGCGATCATTAAAAAGTCAGGAAACAACCGGTGCTGGAGAGGATGTGGAGAAACAGGAACACTTTTACACTGTTGGTGGGACTGTAAACTAGTTCAACCATTGTGGAAGTCAGTGTGGCGATTCCTCAGGGATCTAGAACTAGAAATACCATTTGACCCAGCAATCCCATTACTGGGTATATACCCAAAGGACTATAAATCATGCTGCTATAAAGACACATGCACACGTATGTTTATTGCAGCATTATTCACGATAGCAAAGACTTGGAACCAACCCAAATGTCCAACAATGATAGACTGGATTAAGAAAATGTGGCACATATACACCATGGAATACTACACAGCCATAAAAAATGATGAGTTCGCGTCCTTTGTAGGGACATGGATGAAATTGGAAATCATCATTCTCAGTAAACTATCGCAAGAACAAAAAACCAAACACCGCATATTCTCACTCACAGGTGGGAATTGAACAATGAGAACACAAGGACACAGGAAGGGGAACATCACACTCTGGGGACTGTTGTGGGGTGGGAGGAGGGGGGAGGGATAGCACTGGGAGATATACCTAATGCCCTAATGCTAGCTGACGAGTTTGTGGGTGCAGCGCACCAGCATGGCACATGTATACATATGTAACTAACCTGCACATTGTGCACATGTACCCTAAAACTTAAAGTATAATAATAAATAAATAAATAAAGAATGGCACATTGTCAACACCGCATGGGCTGGAGGGCAACACTGTGTGGGAGGCAAAGGCACTCCTGCCTCAGCGAAATAGGGGTGTGGATCAATTTCCTGGTTTGATGATGCACTCTAGTGCCCCCCCTGGAGGAAGCTGGGAGATGGGAAGGGGTCTGGATCAATTTCCTGGTTTAATGATGCACTCTAGTGTCCCCCCTGGAGGAAGCTGGGAGATGGGAAGGGGTCTGGATCAATTTCCTCGTTTGATGATGCACTCTAGTGCCCCGCCCTGGAGGAAGCTGGGAGATGGGAAGGGGTCTGGATCAATTTCCTGATTTGATGATGCACTCTAGTGTCCCCCTGGAGGAAGCTGGGAGATGGGAAGGGGTCTGGATCAATTTCCTGGTTTGATGATGCACTCTAGTGTCCCCCCTGGAGGAAGCTGGGAGATGGGAAGGGGTCTGGATCAATTTCCTGGTTTGATGATGCACTCTAGTGCCCTGCCCTCGAGGAAGCTGGGAGATGGGAAGGGGTCTGGATCAATTTCCTGATTTGATGATGCACTCTAGTGTCCCCCTGGAGGAAGCTGGGAGATGGGAAGGGGTCTGGATCAATTTCCTGGTTTGATGATGCACTCTAGTGCCCCACCCTGGAGGAAGCTGGGAGATGGGAAGGGGTCTGGATCAATTTCCTGGTTTGATGATGCACTCTAGTGTCCCCCTGGAGGAAGCTGGGAGATGGGAAGGGGTCTGGATCAATTTCCTCGTTTGATGATGCACTCTAGTGTCCCCCTGGAGGAAGCTGGGAGATGGGAAGGGGTCTGGACCAATTTCCTCGTTTGATGATGCACTCTAGTGTCCCCCTGGAGGAAGCTGGGAGATGGGAAGGGGTCTGGATCAATTTCCTCGTTTGATGATGCACTCTAGTGCCCTGCCCTGGAGGAAGCTGGGAGATGGGAAGGGGTCTGGATCAATTTCCTGATTTGATGATGCACTCTAGTGTCCCCCTGGAGGAAGCTGGGAGATGGGAAGGGGTCTGGATCAATTTCCTGGTTTGATGATGCACTCTAGTGTCCCCCCTGGAGGAAGCTGGGAGATGGGAAGGGGTCTGGATCAATTTCCTGGTTTGATGATGCACTCTAGTGCCCTGCCCTCGAGGAAGCTGGGAGATGGGAAGGGGTCTGGATCAATTTCCTGATTTGATGATGCACTCTAGTGCCCCCCCGGAGGAAGCTGGGAGATGGGAAGGGGTCTGGATCAATTTCCTGGTTTGATGATGCACTCTAGTGTCCCCCCTGGAGGAAGCTGGGAGATGGGAAGGGGTCTGGATCAATTTCCTGGTTTGATGATGCACTCTAGTGCCCCCCCTGGAGGAAGCTGGGAGATGGGAAGGGGTCTGGATCAATTTCCTGGTTTGATGATGCACTCTAGTGTCCCCCTGGAGGAAGCTGGGAGATGGGAAGGGGTCTGGATCAATTTCCTGATTTGATGATGCACTCTAGTGTCCCCCTGGAGGAAGCTGGGAGATGGGAAGGGGTCTGGATCAATTTCCTCGTTTGATGATGCACTCTAGTGTCCCCCTGGAGGAAGCTGGGAGATGGGAAGGGGTCTGGATCAATTTCCTCGTTTGATGATGCACTCTAGTGTCCCCCTGGAGGAAGCTGGGAGATGGGAAGGGGTCTGGATCAATTTCCTGGTTTGATGATGGACTCTACTATGTTAGCTGTCCCCTGGAGGACGCTGGGAGATCAGTACACTGTACCTCGCTGTACTAGGTTTATAATTTATGAGCCCATAATTATTTCAAAATATAAAGTTTTTTAAAAAGTGGTTCAGAAGATGTGGACCTGCATGTGAAGAAGTTTTAGAAATATCTTTATTTATTTTGCCTATAGTTTCCTTTTTATGTATGCACAAAAGTGATATATGATTTGAAAGAAACTATGTTGGAGTAAGTGTGAAGAGCTCATCTCTTAGGTATAAAATACAGATTCCAAGTGAGTAAAGAAAATGGCTACATAATTCCAACGAACTCATCTTGTTCAGTCTGCCACAGGCCCTGCCCTTGATGACGTCCCACAGGTCCTGCCCTTGATGAGGCCCCACAGGACACTCAGAAAGCTGCATGACCAGGCAGTGCCAGGGTTCCACCTCTATCTGCAGATGACGCTGCCCTGCCCTGCCCTCCCCACCAACAGCACTCTTCTGCAGTGAGGAGGGACCCTTGACCCTGCCACCACAGCACCCGGGTCCTCTTGCAGCACTTCTAGTGAGCTGAAGCAAGAGAGGAATAATGGGAGAGACTGCCTGAAGTTTCCTTTTTTCTTACTTTTTTCCTGCAGGGCTGCCTCCTGCCTATGGCTACGTTATGAACGTGCTCAGTTTAGATAGTAGGTGCTGGAATTTTGGCTAACTGGCATTTCCCTTTGCACCAAGCAACTGCCCAAAGGGTTGATTCTCAGCTTAAACACTACACTAAGTCATTTAGCAGTAATGTTTGGGCCGGGTTCTGAGTGTGTGAATTCTGTCCAAAAGCTGAAGATGTTTAAGCTATTTCCTCCTGGAGTTTGGTGGAATAATAAAAGGTTACTGTTGTCACAGTGAGGAGGTCTGCAGCTGGTCCCACTTCCTTTCATTACTACCCAATGTAAACAGATTAAATCGAACCGCTCGGATCACCAGAAGGGACATTCCTTATTTCTGCTCCTTTCTGTTATGCTTTCAGTGTCCCTCAGGCTCCTTTCAGATGTCAGTTTTTATCATTGGGAATATCTTGGCAACTGATTGCTCAGGCCCTCTTGTAAACGAAATACCTTCTTTCAGGTTCCCTCTCTCTTCTCAGCAGCGAGGCGTAAACTGCAGTAGTGAGCAGGGTGTGACCCTTACCTTGAGGGCCACATGGCTACTGACTGCAGCCATGAAATGGGTTAGGTCACCCACAGAGCCGGCAGAGACCTTCCCTCCAACCACCTCTGGCTGATTTCACCACTAACACCTGGTGGGGTCCCTCCCCCACCCCAAGAGGTCTGCTTTTGTTGTGCACCCCACTCTGGGAAGAGGGAGATCCTGGGGCGCCCACCTAATCAGCCACCAGCAAGGCCAGGGCTGGTGACGCAGCAGGAGGTAAGGGATGGCGTGGGTGGAGGCATTAGTCACTGGCATGTAAGTGTTATTACTAATCAGTAATAGCCCATGAAATGGTGGGTGGATCAGCTAGATTAGGGGGTTTAGTTGTTTCTTTTGAGATGGAGTCTCACTCTGTCACCCAGGCTATAGTGCAATGGCGTGATCTCGGCTCACTGTAACCTCCGCCTCCCAAGTTCACACGATTCTCCTGCCTCAGCCTCCTGAGTAGCTGGGATTACAGGCATGCACCACCACGCCCGGCTAATTTTGTATTTTTAGTATGGTTTCACCATGTTGTTTAGTATGGTTTCAACATAGTTTCACCATGTTGGTCAGGCTGGTTTTGAACTCCTGACCTCAGGTGATCGGCCTGCCTCAGCCTCCCAAAGTGCTGGGATTACAGGCATGAGCCACCATTCCCGGCCATTTTTTTTTTAAATTACATAAAACCTCTGGTTCAAAAAAAAATTTCATCTGAAAGCCCACAATACAAAATGACTTGCAGCTCTCCCTCTCCCTCTCCCTCTCCCCACGGTCTCCCTCTCCCTCTCTTTCCACGGTCTCCCTCTCATGCTGAGCCGAAGCTGGACTGTACTGCTGCCATCTCGGCTCACTGCAACCTCCCTGCCTGATTCTCCTGACTCAGCCTGCCGAGTGCCTGCGATTGCAGGCTCGCGCCGCCACACCTGACTGGTTTTGGTGGAGACGGGGTTTCGCTGGGTTGGCCAGGCCGGTCTCCAGCCCCTAACCGCAAGTGATCCGCCAGCCTCGGCCTCCCGAGGTGCCGGGATTGCAGACGGAGTCTCGTTCACTCAGTGCTCAATGGTGCCCAGGCTGGAGTGCAGGGGCGTGATCTCAGCTCGCTACAACCTCCACCTCCCAGCCGCCTGCCTTGGCCTCCCAAAGTGCCGAGATTGCAGCCTCTGCCCGGCCACCACCCCGTCTGGGAAGTGAGAAGCGTCTCTGCCTGGCCGCCCATCATCTGGGATGTGAGGAGCCCCTCTGCCTGGCTGCCCAGTCTGGAAAGTGAGGAGCGTCTCCGCCCGGCCGCCATCCCACCTAGGAAGTGAGGAGCACCTCTTCCCGGCCGCCATCACATCTAGGAAGTGAGGAGCGTCTCTGCCCGGCTGCCCATTGTCTGAGATGTGGGGAGCGCCTCTGCCCTGCCGCCCCGTCTGGGATGTGAGGAGCACCTCTGCCCGGCCGCGACCCGGTCTGGGAGGTGAGGAGCATTTCTGCCCGGCCGCCCCGTCTGAGAAGTGAGGAGACCCTCTGCCCGGCAACCGCCCCGTCTGAGAAGTGAGGAGCCCCTCCGCCCGGCAGCCGCCCCGTCTGAGAAGTGAGGAGCCTCTCTGCCCGGCAGCCACCCCGTCTGGGAAGTGAGGAGCGTCTCCGCCCGGCAGCCACCCCGTCCGGGAGGGAGGTGGGGGGGTCAGCCCCATGCCCGGCCAGCCGCCCCGTCCGGGAGGTGAGGGGCGCCTCTGCCCAGCCGCCCCTACTGGGAAGTGAGGAGCCCCTCTGCCAGGCCAGCCGCCCCGTCCGGGAGGGAGGTGGGGGGGGGGGTCAGCCCCCAACCCGGCCAGCCGCCCCATCCGGGAGGTGAGGGGCGCCTCTGCCCAGCCACCCCTACTGGGAAGTGAGGAGCCCCTCTGCCAGGCCAGCCGCCCCGTCCGGGAGGGAGGTGGGGGGGTCAGCCCCCCGCCCGGCCAGCCGCCCCGCCCGGGAGGTGAGGGGCGCCTCTGCCCGGCCGCCCCTACTGGGAAGTGAGGAGCCCCTCTGCCCGGCCACCACCCTGTCTGGGAGGTGTACCCAACAGCTCATTGAGAACGGGCCATGATGACAATGGCGGCTTTGTGGAATAGAAAGTGGGGAAAGGTGGGGAAAAGATTGAGAAATCGGATGGTTGCCGTGTCTGTGTAGAGAGAAGTAGACATGGGAGACTTTTCATTTTGTTCTGTACTAAGAAAACTTCTTCTGCCTTGGGATCCTGTTGATCTGTGACCTTACCCCCAACCCTGTGCTCTCTGAAACATGTGCTGTGTCCACTCAGGGTTAAATGGATTAAGGGCGGTGCAAGATGTGCTTTGTTAAACAGATGCTTGAAGGCAGCATGCTCGTTAAGAGTCATCACCACTCCCTAATCTCAAGTACCCAGGGACACAAACACTGCGGAAGGCCTCAGGGTCCTCTGCCTAGGAAAACCAGAGACCTTTGTTCACTTGTTTATCTGCTGACCTTCCCTCCACTATTGTCCTATGACCCTGCCAAATCCCCCTCTGTGAGAAACACCCAAGAATTATCAATAAAAAATAAATAAATTAAAAAAAAAAACAAAAACAAAATGACTTGCGATAAAACTGCTCTGATCGCAGGGATCTAGGTCTCTGGCCTCCTCCTAACTTCCACAGTGACATCTGATGGGGCACCAAGGAATACAGTTTGAAAACCATTAGCTCTCACTAAAGACAAGCTAGGGAAGTCTAAAGAGAGAATAACCTACTGAAGGTCACATGGTCAGTCGGTTAATGGCCGACAAGAGTCCAGCATTTTCCCAGCACCTGACTCTGCTTTACCCCATGTACTGGTCAGATGTCAGTGTTCTGTGTTCTTAGAATGAGCAGGTCTTGGTCCTTACAACAGTAACTTCAAGCTTTCATAGGAGGAAAAAGTTCCAAGAAAAAGGAAAATTACATTTTACCTGGCAAAACTGATTTTGTAGGTAATGGGGCCTATCTTAATCCAATTTAATAACATCCAGAGATGACTAGCGAAAAGAATAACTTTTCCTGGCAACACTGCAAGCATCTGAGTGTTTAACTGCACAATTTCGGACATGACCATGGCAGCTACTAGCATTCGTGAGACATCAGGGCTCTGCAAATGGCTCTCCTGCGCAAAGCATGCTCACAGGGCAGAGGTGGCCCTGTGTGGGTGGAGGACATGCCAGAAGCATGGGCTCTACACCCAGAGCCTTCTTTCCACCCTAGTCCCTGCTCCCAAAATGCAATTGAGAACTGCATTTAATTAGTTACAAGAAACTGTTTGTTTTCTTCCATGCCAGTCAATACTATGACGGCTTTAAATCAACTGCATCTAATCCTATAAATACATCTCCGGGATGGAGCCTCCTCAAGATGTCCCATCAGTTTTGTTCATTTACTTCTATTCCTGAGATTCAGTTCTATGTCCTCTACTCTTCAATGAGACATGAGTCCATCAACAAAATAGCACTGGGAAAGGAATTCTAGTTTCTGACATTGAGACCTGGCTTCCAGTTTAAGCTCCTCCACTTCCAAGCTGTGCAACCCTGGGCCAACCACTTAACCTCTCTGAGCTGCAGTTTCATCACCTATAAAGCAAGAGGCAGGAATTGTGACGATAACATAAAGCATGTAAAAGAATTTAAAAGTGCAAAGGACTATAAAAGTGTGAGTATCCATTCTATTACAATCATTTAATCAAGGGACCAGACACATTTGATTGCATCATTTCAGAACTGCTCCTGGAAGCTCTGCTCTCTTGGCTCCTGCCCTTGTGGTGCTGGGAAAGAATGAATGCAGGGCTAGCTGCAAAGTACATGGTTACAGGTTTCTCAGAGCTGGTCCTCCCAGCCAGCCTCCCTTTTGGTGGTGTCTGGAGCAAAACAATACCGTAAAATAATCCTCCAGCAGCCAAGTGTAGACAATTAAAAACAGGGATCACTAATCTAGAAGGGAAACGTTCTGATTTATTGCTCTAACCTCCCTTGTCATAACATGGCAGTTAACCAAAAACACCATTCTGTAGGATGAAGGGAGAGGAAATTTAGACTTGGACAGAAAAATCCAAAGGAAATTAAAGTGTTAGTGTGCTCTGAAAAGTAACTCTTCAAATATGCCACTGGCCACCTTGACATTTCCAGGCCTCCCCAATGGCTTCCAGACCTAAAGTGATCAGCTTACACTGCATGGAGGCCTCTCCTAGCCGAGGGTGCTGCTGGCTTCCCGGGGATTGTTCAGCCTCTCTCATCATCACTGTACCAGATGACAGTCAAACCAAAAACTCAGCTGACAAGCTCAGGAGATGCTGAATGAGGCAGAGCAGAACTCTCCTGGCCCCACCACAGTGGCTAATGAAGCTTGTGTGTGTCCTGGAGGCGGGGCTCTTCAGGAGCAGAGATGTGGGCAGGGAAGTCTGCCCTTTCATGGAGTTTTCTACATGCACTTTCAGATAAAGGCCTTCTGTAAAGACCACAACAGCTGTCATCTCTGAACGTGGCCAAGAGCCAAAGGATCGTATCTGGAGCAAGCAGACCGATTTTCAGAAACGCACATTGGGTAGGTTACCCGTGGTGACGCAAACCAGACTTACTTGATCTAAATCTCCTTTCTCCGTTGCCAGTTCCTCCATCTCTGGTGTTGGCTCATCTTCCAGGAAGGGATTGGTAGATGGGGGTGGAGACTCAAGCTTTTTCTGTTAGGTAGATATGAGAAAGAGAAGTGTTTTCTGAGCATATTCAATAGCTTTCCCCATTGATCTGCTTTTTCTAGGTGTCTCCAACAAGGAAGTCATGCACGCTATCTGATAAAGAAGAACTGAGGCAACCCAGACCACATTCTTGCCTCCGGGCCTTCACAGTGCTTTCCCTCTTCCTGCAACCTCCCCGACCACCCCGCCCCAACTCGAATCTGGCTAAAACGCTCACGCATCCTCAGTCCTCAAACCGGAACTCCGTTCTGCTGGGAAGCCTTTCCCATCTGTCAGGTTTGGGTCAGATGTCCCTGACACGTGTTCCCAAACCAAGCTACATGTCTCCTACCCAGGCATTTATTAAAATATAGCAATTGCCCATTATTTGTCTTTTCCCTTCTGGCCTCCATGATGGCAGAGATTGTGTCTGTCTTGTTCCCCATCCTATCTCAGTGCCTAGCATGTAGCAGGTCCTCAGTAAATAGAAATGAATCAAAGTGCCAGATGGATTTCAACGCAAGAACAAACTACAAAACTAATCTCATGTGTTCTAGATTAACAGATGTCTCTTCCCAAGTAAGCCCCATTACAACAACCACAACAGAAATCTCCTTGAGAAAATCGACTTCTCAGCTTCCAAATATGACCACTATTTCAAAATACATCACGGAGTGGAAACATGGGCCAGTGGGAAGGCTGCAGGCAGGAGGCATGGTAGCTGTAGCTCCAACCGTGCGGCACTGGCCCTATCACCCAGCTTCTCTGAGCCTCAGTAACTTCATCTGCTGAATGAGGATGTAGTCACAGGACTATCTGGAGGATCAAATGTGAAACCCTAGAAGCAGCACATGATACACACAAGGGTCACTGATGACGTTAATTCCAGTACAACTACAGAATCAAGGCAGCTCTCTGGAATTCCTTTACAGTTTTCACCTAGAGATGTTGTTTATGCCTGGGAGCTGAAGGCTTTAGCAGAAAGGAGGCCAACTGGACAAACAGAAAAGAGGGACTGCTTGGTGCTGGGGACGAGGGAAGGGGGCAAGGCATGGCTCTCTGGAGACGAGAAGTTAATGGAGAGGGAGTTTCTAAATGTACTTGGTATTTTAGCCAATACCAGTGGGTCAATCTGAATTAATCTCTAAGCCAAAAGGGACAGCAGATGGACTATAGCGTGAATAACTTTGCCAAGTGCCAGGACACCATCTGAAGCTATTACAAACAAAAATAAAACCAAAACTTACACAAAGGCCGGGTGCAGTGGCTCACACCTGGAATCCCAGCACTTTGGGAGGCTGAGGCGGCGGATCACTTGAGGTCAGGAGTTCAAGACCAGCCTGAACAACATGGTGAAAGCCTGTCTCTACTAAAAATACCAAAATTAGCAGCGTGGTGGTAGGCGCCTGTAATCCCAGCTACTTGGGAGGCTGAGGCACAAGAATTGCTTGAATCCAGGAAGTGGAGGTTGCAGTGAGCCAAGATGGCACCACTGCACTCCAGCCTGGGTGACAAAGCGAGACTCCGTCTCAAAAATAAAATACAATAAAATAAATACATTGCACAAAAGCACTACACCTGCGTCTGGTTTTTGGTTTAAGACAATACTGCTAACAGTCATTTAATAACTGCTTATTTTTTGGCCAAAACACTTGGATGCAAGTGATGTGGACAGATACAGCCTCGGTGCATGACAAAGCCTTGTGGTGATGGCATTAGCTCGAGGTAATCAGTAGTAAGATGATGGTTTTTGTGGTATCCTGGTGATAAACAATATGGTCTAACACCCAAGCAAGTATTTCACATTTGCACACTCCAAACTTTGGCTTCTTTACCTAACATGAGAGAAAAAAAATCCTTAAAAATGTACAGCTCTTGTTAGAAAGCAGTATTTCTAAGCTTGAGTTGTCTTCTTAAGGGCTGCTGATATTTTAGAGAGAGAGGAATAGTAATAAAGGGAATCTACCAAGCTTAATCTTCAACAACCATAAAAAAATTAAATTAGGTAATAGCATTAGACTCCTGATTCCACTGGCTTAACAGTGGGCTCTGGGATTATGCTGTTGAGCTGAGTCACTATGATTCTAAGTCTTTTGGTCCTTTGTAGATATGAAAAGCAAGTCAGCTAACTGAAGTTAAAAGCTTTGATCAAAATCATTCAGTGACAGACACAGAATTTGAGTTTTTGAACTAAATGCCCCTCATCTATTGCTAAGTCTATTGGGTTGATAACAGCACCTCACAATTACATAAAGATGGGCCTCGTTTTTAAAACATAATGTGTTATTGGAAATCATGGCAAACAGCAGATGTCAGTGACGTGGACTGAGAACGTTCCCGGGCTCTGCTCTCGCTGGCATAAAGCATCAAGAAAACGCAGAGGGTAGGAAGAAGTCAAACCTACTCTCACTGGCGTAAAGCATCAAGAAAACGCAGAGGGTAGGAAGAAGTCGAGCCTACTCTCGCTGGCGTAAAGCATCAAGAAAACGCAGAGGGTAGGAAGAAGTTGAACCTACTCTCGCCGGTGTAAAGCATCAAGAAAACGGAGAGGGGAGGAAGAAGTCGAACCTAACGGGCAGCCCTGAAGAAGCAGGCACCATCTGAGGCAGGTGAGCACAGGCCACTCGCTCAGTGTCACCATCTGGGATAGAGTGAGCATGGGCCAACCTCAGCCTCCTGAGTAGCTGGGACTACAGGTGCACATCACCACACCCAAGTAATTTTTGTATTTTTTGTAGAGATGGGATTTTGCCATGTTGCCTGGGCTGGTCTGAAACTCCTGACCTGAAGCAATCCATCTGTCTCAGCCTCCCAAAGTGCTAGAATTACAGGCGTGAGCCACCATGCCCGTCCTCTATTAACATGAGGGGAGTTGTGGACATCAAGGAGCTCCTAGCTCACTCATTTGTGGCACATGCATTCCACATGTGGACCAAGTTAGTACAGGAAAAGTGATTCATTCCTTCCCTCATCCACTCAACAAAGGGATATGCTTGGCCCTAGGAGTAGAGCAGTGAGAAAGACAGGCCAGCCTCCGCCCTCATGGAGATTAGAGTCTGCTGGGGGAGACAGCCTTCAATCCAACAGTCACACAAACAGTGAGAAGGGCCAGGAAGGAAAAGCAGTCGTCATGGAAACGTGCAACAGAGGGCCGCAGCCGTCCCTAAAGAAAAGATGTCTGAGCCAGAGCTGAAGGATGCCTCAGAGTGAAATATATGAGGGGTGGAGGGCGGAGGGAACAGCACGTGTCTGCCGCTCACTCAACAATGATGTACTGGGCATCCACTCTGCTCCAGGCACTCTTGGGTGCACCAGGGATGCAAGTGAGGAAGATGGATTAGAGAGGCGGCACTGTAGTGGTGAGAAGAAAACTCAGGGAGTGGGATGAGCTGGGGATGAGGGTGGGAAAGTGCTTCTACACACAGGGTCATCAGAAAAGGTCTCTGAGGAGATGACGGCTGAGCTGAGTAAGAAGGAACTGCTCAGGCAAAACCCAAGGAAGGGTGTTCTCAGCAGGGAGACCCGGTGGAGACGCTGGAAAGCATATGGTGAGTCTGAGGGACAGAAAGGAAGATGGGGGCCTGGGGTAAGAGGGGTGGCGGGAGTCCCATCATATTGGTGAATCAGGGATGGAAAGGAAGATGGGGGCCTGGGGTAAGAGGGGTGGCGGGAGTCCCATCATATTGGTGAGTCAGGGACGGAAACAAAGATGGGGGCCTGGGGTAAGAGGGGTGGCGAGAGTCCCATCATATTGGTGAGTCAGGGACAGAAAGGAAGATGGGGGCCTGGGGTAAGAGGGGTGGCGGGAGTCCCATCATATTGGTGAGTCAGGGACGGAAACGAAGATGGGGGCCTGGGGTAAGAGGGGTGGCAAGAGTCGCATCATATTGGTGAGTCAGGGACAGAAAGGAAGATGGGGGCCTGGGGTAAGAGGGGTGGCGGGAGCCCCATCACGCAGCCTTTTGTGGGCCATGGTAAGGGTCGGTTTTCTTCTCACTGCAATTGGGCAGTCGCTGGTAGTTTTCAACAGCGAAGTGATGTGATCTAATTTGGATTTTAAAAATATTCCACTGCTGTAGGGGAATGGATTATAATGACAGCAGGCAAACCAGTTTAAGAGGCTGCTACAGTGCTCCAGGAAAGGGCTGATGGGAACCGGACTAAGCCAGTGTTCCAGGAAAGGGCTGATGGGGAACTGGACTAAGCTGGTGATGGACGATAGAAAAAAGTGTCCATCGGATTTGGGGCACAGTTAGGAGGCAGAGCCAGGAGGCTTTGCTGAGAGAGTGAGAACGAGGGTGAGGGAATGAAAGGAGTGAAGGGACAGTCACTTTCTGGTCTGAGCAACTGCACGGCTGATGTTGCCCTTAACTGAGATGGGGCACCCTCGTGTAGTGGCAAGGGCACAGGCTCCGTATCTGACAGACCCGGGTTCGAGTCCAGGTTCCACCATGGGGTATGCTGTTTAACTTCTAGCCTCAGTTCTCCTACCTGCAATGTGAAGGGATAGGAATACCTACCTCGTATGGCTGCCATGAGGATGGGATGAGGCATGCGTGTCAGGCGTGAGCTACACAGTTACGTGCTGCCATGAGGATGGGATGATGCGTGCGTGTCAGGCGTGAGCTACACAGTCATGCACCACATCACCATGTTTCCATCCATGACGGGCCACGGTACAAGGCGGTTCCACTAGATTATAATGGAGCCATACAATAGAGTAGGCCAGGGGTCCCCAACCCCTGGGCCACAGTCCATGGCCTGTTAGCAACCAGGCTGCATATCACGAGGTGAGCAGCAGTGAGTGAGCATGACTGCCTGGGCTCCGCCTCCTGTCAGGTCTCATAGGCAAACCCTGTTGTGAGCTGCTCATATGAGAGGTCTAGGTTGCACACTCCTTCTGAGAATCCAATGCCTGATGATCTGAGGTAGAACAGTTTCATCTCGAAACCATCCCCTACCCCCATCCCCTGCACTCCCACCCCCACCCCCACCTCTGGAAAAACTGTCTTCCACAAAACCAGTCCCTGGTGCCAAAAAGGTTGGGGACAGCTGGAGTAGGTTCTAGCAGGCACACTCTATGAGGTTTGCACAGTGATGAAACTAATGATGCATTTCTCAGAACATATTCCTGCTGTTAAGCAATGCATGACTGAATATATACAGCAGCTTAACATGCTGTCTGGCACAGAGGGCAAGGCTCAGCAAGGGGAAGCTTTGAGCAGTAATTAATAGGGTGAGCTACGAAACAAGGCAAAACTGTTGTGCTTCTCTTAATAAAGCAGCTCACAGAAAACGTGGGCATGCAGGCTTAAAAGTCTTGTCAAAAGAATTTCTATTAACCATAAGTGGAGCCTCGTCCCAACTACTTTGTCTCTTTGGGATCTCTCTAAGAAATAAAAGCAAAGGGCCCATCAACTTTGCACTTTCTAAGTGGAAAGGCACACGGAGCTGCTCCTTTCTTCCCCAGTCTACAACAACGCACATACCACCCTCCTCCCTGTTGATAAAAGTCCTAAAACCCTAAGGTGTGGATATGCATTCCCGCTAGTTAGAGGGCTACATTACTGCTCAGACTGACTTGCTAAGATGAAAGAACAAGTCCTTGTGGGGAGCGATCACTGGCATAACGCAGCCTTCTGTGCTAAGAGCCACACAGATCACGCTTCTCAGGCTTGCTTTGCAGCTGTCACAGGCCACAGAGAATTACAACTTTGGGGTTAGATTGTCAGTAACTCAAAGGACATATTTCATGAACTCTGAGGCTGCTAAATAAAGCCAAAAATTTCCAAGAAGTGAATGACTTCCAATTTTGAAAGAATTCATTCTTTTTGCTATGATGACAGTTGATTTCAAGCCGATATAGGAAAGCAAAATTCTTCATATAGCAAGTTAATCCCTACTGATTAAATCACAGGGGATTCCCAGCACCTTCAAAACAGTTCAGACCACAGGACAGTCAGGCTGTCTAATTCACTGTCAAGAAGGGAAAGTCTGGCTTCAGTCAGCAGTACATCCGTATCTCGTCTGCCTACACAAATCCCTGTGTGAGGCCCTAGCTGGACACATCGAATTATCAAAGAAGGAACTCTGAAATTTAAGACTCTTCCTTTCCCTAGAGGGGAAAGCTTTCGCTTGTGAGATGAAAGTTCCTCAGTTTCTGCATTTCTCACTCCATAAATGCTTTACTCCAGCCCAATTCCTAATTGGTCCTTAAAGAGATGGCTGCGGGGCTTTAGCTGACAGTCAGGACTGCAAGCCCAGGGGTTCACACACTTGGTGTCCACCATTTCTGGGGCTACTCTCTTGCTACCGCCATGTCCACTTCTTCTATTGCAACAGTTATGTACAGACTTCTTTCTCCTACTAGACCCTAAGTGCCTTCCCGATCCAATTTCTCATCTTTTCCAAAGCCCTGAACAAAGAGGGAAGCTTGAAAAATATAAGTGGGTAAATGCTGATCAGATGAAAGGCCCTCAATAAAATCCTCTTCAGAAACATGGGCAACACTTTCTATTTTCTGTAAACAAAACAAAAAGCCTGCGTATATGTGTGCAAGCGTGCTTGCAGAAGCGTCAAAAATATACCCCAAAGAATTAAACAGTGTGGATACCTCCAGGGGGAGGGATATACAGTAGTTAAGAAGAGATGTTTATTTAAAATTTTTTTTTCTATTTGAGTTTTTAATAGGCATATATAGCTATTTCTGCTTTTTTCTTTTCTTTTCTTTTCTTTTTTTTTTTGAAACAGAGCCTCACTCTTCCACCCAGGATGAAGTGCAGTGGTGCAATCACAGCTCACTGCAGTCTTGAACTCCTGGACTTAGGTGACCCTTGCACCTCAGCCTCCTGAGTAGCTAAGAATGCAAGTGCACACTACCACGCCCTGCTCATTTTAAAATTTTTTTTTAGAGACAGGGTCTTCGTGGCCCAGGCTGGTCTCAAACTCCTGGCTGTAAGAGACCTGCCCACCTCGGCCTCCCAAAGCGCTGGGATTTTAGGCATGAGCCATTATGCCCGGCCCACTGCTCATTTTTTTTTTTGACAGAATATTTATCTGAAGAGTAAAGATGATTTATAACTAAACTCATACACTATCTTCTAAAGCCTTTAATTCTAAATTGTGATGTAATTCATGTCACATAAAACTCAACATTTTAAAGTGATTTACTATTCAGTGGTTTTCGGACATTCACAAGGTTGTGCAGCCATCACCACCAATTCCAGAACATTTTTCACCCCCAAAAGCAACCCCTACCTGTTACTGGGAAGCTGTTACTTCCCAGTCTTCCCCTTCCCAACCCCATCGGCCTCTATGGATTTGCCTCTTTTGGGTATTTCCTATAGATGGAATCATATAATGTGTGACATCTGTGTCTGGCTTCTTTCACTCGGCATGGTGTGTCCAAGGTTCACCCAGGTCAGGGCACGTATCAGCACTTCATTCCTTTTACGTGAATAATATTCCACTGTACGGACAGACCACGTTTTGGTTATTCCTTGTCTACTGATGTTTCTACTTTTTGGCTATTGTGAATAGTGTTGCTATGAACATTTGTGTAAGACATACGAACATATGTTTTTAATTCCCTTGGGCATATACTTAGAAGTAGAAATGTGTAATTAAAAAAAAAGAATTCAGATTGCTTTGCTTTTTCTATTTGGCAGAGTTACCCCTTCACATTAGGCATGGCACATTAACACTGTGAGATGCACTGAAACAAGCAGGGACTACTTTTAAATCTTAACTGCATTTGGAAGAACAGAAAGGAAGAGGAACAGAAAGATGTTTAAAGCAGAGGCTGAAATTGAAAGTGCTCACAACTTGAGCCGATAATTCCACTAGTGTCGTAAGAAAATCATCTCACTGCTTTGGGTAAGAGAC
Organism: Homo sapiens; assembly: GCF_000001405.40. Lineage (NCBI taxonomy): Eukaryota > Metazoa > Chordata > Mammalia > Primates > Hominidae > Homo > Homo sapiens. The sequence continues at coordinate 609,775 of NC_000017.11, forward strand.
AGCGAAGAGGAGAGAAGAGAGAAGAGAAGAGAGGAAAAAAACAATCTCAAATGCATATAAAATTAGTAGACAAGGCCGGGTGCGGTGGCTCACGCCTGTAATCCCAGCACTTTGGGAGGCCGAGGTGGGCGGATCACGAGGTCAGGAGATCGAGACCCTCCTGGCTAACATGGTGAAACCGTCTCTACTAAAAATATAAAAAAAAAAATTAGCCAGGCGTGGTGGCGGGCGCCTGTAGTCCCAGCTACGCGGAGGCTGAGGCAGGAGAATGGCGTGAACCCAGGAGGCAGAGCTTGCAGTGAGCCGAGATCGCGCCACTGCACTCGAGCCTGGGCGACAGAGTGAGACTCCGTCACACACACACACACACACACACACACACACACACACACACACACACACACAAATTAGTAGACAAAAATATTCATATAGCCCTATTTATAAAAGTGAGAAAAAACTAAGGGTCCTACGAGAAAAGAATAATTAGGGGAATCACTGAGTATCTATAGAATAAAATCTTTCTGTAGTAGTTGAGAAACAACTTAAGCTGTGACATATGAAGCATATTTTCATATGTGTGTGTGAGTTAATATGGAAATTAACTCAAAATGGATCAAAGATATAAATGTAGCAGCTGAAACTATAAAACTCTTAGGAGGAAACCTAGGTAAGTCTCTGTAGCCTTGGATTACGTAACAGTTTCTTGGATATGACACTAAACACAAGCAAGAACAAAAAACCTTCATTAAAACGGAAATCCTGTGAAATGACTATCAAGAGAGTGAAAACCCACAGATGGGAGAAAACATTGGCAAATCATATGTCTGATACATGATAAAATATCTAAAGAAGTTATAAAGCCTGGGCATGGTGGCTCACGCCTATAATCCCAGCACTATGAGAGGTCGAGGCGGGTGGATCACTTGAGGCCAGGAGTTCAAGACCAGCCTGGCCAACACGGCAAAACCCCGCCTCTACTAAAAAAAAAAAAAAAAAATACAAAAAATACAAAAATTAGCCTGGCATGGTGCTGCGCTCCTGTGGTCCCAGCTACCCAGGAGACTGAGGTCCGAGAATTGCTTGAACCCAGGAGGCAGAGGTTGCAGTGAGCCGAGATCTCACCACTGAACTCCAGCCTGGGCAACAGAGTGAGACTCTGTCTCAAGAAAAAAAAAAAAAAGTTATAGAATATATCTAGAATGTGTAAACAACTCTTACAACTCAACAATAAAAACAATCCAACTAAAAAATGGGCAAAAAATGTGAATAGACATTTCCTTTTTTTTGAGACATGAGTGGCGCAATCTCAGCTCACTGAAACCTCCACCTCCTGGGTTCAAGCGATTCTCCTGCCTCAGCCTCCCGAGTAGCTGGGATTATAGGCACCCGCCACCACGCCTGGCTAAGTTTTGTATTTTTAGTACAGACGGGGTTTCACCATGTTGGCCAGGCTGGTCTTGAACTCCTGACCTGAGGTGATGCTCCCACCTCGGCCTCCCACAGTGCTGGGATTACAGGCGTGAGCCACCACACCCAGCTGAATAGACATTTCTTTAAAGAAGCTGTGCAATGTCACTAGTCAATGGGAAAAAGCAAATGAAAACCACAAGGAGATACTACTCTACACCCATGAGAATGGCTATAATTAGGGGAACAAAGGAGACACGCGTCAGCAAGGATATGGGGAAACTGGACCCTCCTACATTGTGGGTAGAAATGTAAAACCGTGTGGCTGCTTCGAAAACAGTTTGCAGTTCCTCAAAAAGTTAAGCCTAGGGTTACCATGTGACCCAGCAATTCCACTCAGGTATATTCTCACAAGAATAGGAAACACGCTGACACGAAAACCTGTACAAATATTCACAGCAGTATTCATACAGTGAAAACCTGTACCGATATTCACAGCAGTATTCACATAGTGAGTTCACACAGTGAAAACCTGTACAAATATTCACATAGTGAGTTCACATAGTGAAAACCTGTACAAATATTCACATAGTGAGTTCACACAGTGAAAACCTGCACAGATATTCACAGCAGTATTCAAATAGTGAATTCACACAGTGAAAACCTGTACAAATATTCACATAGTGAGTTCATACAGTGAAAACCTGTACTGATATTCACAGCAGTATTCACATAGTGAGTTCACACAGTGAAAACCTGTACAGATATTCACATAGTTCACACAGTGAAAACCTGTACAGATATTCACAGCAGTATTCAAATAGTGAATTCACACAGTGAAAACCTGTACAAATATTCACAGTGAGTTCACACAGTGAAAACCTGTAAAAATATTCACATAGTGAGTTCACACAGTGAAAACCTGTACAGATACTCACAGCAGTATTCAAATAGTGAATTCACACAGTGAAAACCTGTACAAATATTCATAGTGAGTTCACACAGTGAAAACCTGTACAGATATTCACAGCAGTATTCAAATAGTGAATTCACACAGTGAAAACCTGTACAAATATTCACATAGTGAGTTCACACAGTGAAAACCTGTACAGATATTCACAGCAGTATTCAAATAGTGAATTCACACAGTGAAAACCTGTACAAATATTCACATAGTGAGTTCACACAGTGAAAACCTGTACAGATATTCACAGCAGTATTCAAATAGTGAATTCACACAGTGAAAACCTGTACAAATATTCACATAGTTCACACAGCGAAAACCTGTACAGATATTCACAGCAGTATTCAAATAGTGAATTCACACAGTGAAAACCTGTACAAATATTCACATAGTGAGTTCACACAGTGAAAACCTGTACAGATACTCACAGCAGTAATCAAATAGTGAATTCACACAGTGAAAACCTGTACAAATATTCATATAGTGAGTTCACACAGCGAAAACCTGTACAGATATTCACAGCAGTATTCAAATAGTGAATTCACACAGTGAAAACCTGTACAAATATTCACATAGTTCACACAGCGAAAACCTGTACAGATATTCACAGCAGTATTCAAATAGTGAATTCACACAGTGAAAACCTGTACAAATATTCACATAGTGAGTTCACACAGTGAAAACCTGTACAGATACTCACAGCAGTATTCAAATAGTGAATTCACACAGTGAAAACCTGTACAAATATTCACATAGTTCACACAGTGAAAACCTGCACAGATATTCACAGCAGTATTCAAATAGTGAATTCACACAGTGAAAACCTGTACAAATATTCACATAGTGAGTTCACACAGTGAAAACCTGTACAGATATTCACAGCAGTATTCAAATAGTGAATTCACACAGTGAAAACCTGTACAAATATTCACATAGTGAGTTCACACAGTGAAAACCTGTACAGATATTCACAGCAGTATTCACACAGTGAAAACCTGTACAGATATTCACAGCAGTATTCAAATAGTGAATTCACACAGTGAAAACCTGTACAAATATTCACATAGTGAGTTCACACAGTGAAAACCTGCACAGATATTCACAGCAGTATTCACACAGTGAAAACCTGTACAGATATTCACAGCAGTATTCAAATAGTGAATTCACACAGTGAAAACCTGTACAAATATTCACATAGTGAGTTCACACAGTGAAAACCTGCACAGATATTCACAGCAGTAATCAAATAGTGAATTCACACAGTGAAAACCTGCACAGATATTCACAGCAGTATTCAAATAGTGAATTCACACAGTGAAAACCTGTACAAATATTCACATAGTGAGTTCACACAGTGAAAACCTGTACAAATATTCACATAGTGAGTTCACACAGTGAAAACCTGTACAGATATTCACAGCAGTATTCAAATAGTGAATTCACACAGTGAAAACCTGTACAAATATTCACATAGTGAGTTCACACAGTGAAAACCTGTACAGATATTCACAGCAGTATTCAAATAGTGAATTCACACAGTGAAAACCTGTACAAATATTCACATAGTGAGTTCACACAGTGAAAACCTGTACAGATATTCATAGCAGTATTCAAATAGTGAATTCACACAGTGAAAACCTGTACAAATATTCACAGTGAGTTCACACAGTGAAAACCTGTACAGATACTCACAGCAGTATTCACACAGTGAAAAAGTGGAAACCACCCGAATGTCCACAGCTGATGGAAGAGACAACAATATGTGCATCACCCACACAACGGTGCACTATTCAGCCATCAAAATGATGCACTGACACACACCTCATCATGGGTAAGGCTCGCAGACACTGTCCAGAGGGAGGGAAGGCAGACACAAAAACCACACATCGTAGCATCCGTTTATGTGAAGTGTCCACAACAGGCATCCGTAAAGACAAAAGTCAATTCGTAACTGCCCAGGACTGGGGAAAGAGAACTTGAAAGTCCTGCCTGCTAAGGAGGGATTTCTTCTGGGGTAACAGAAATGTCCTGGAGTTGCACAGCTGGGATCGTGGCATCATCTTATGAATATATGAAAACCAACTGAACTGTATACTTTAAACGATAAATTTCATGTGACATTTCGTGACATGAGTTATATCTCAATTTTAAAAACTAGGCAGAGAAAACTGTATTTAAAAAAATACAATTTCAACCATGTAAAATATATAGAAAGAATATACCCAAATCCTCATCTCTGATTTGGATGACTTTTTTCCTGCTTCTCTATTCTCGCCATAATTTCCAAATTTTCTATCCTGACCCTGTATTATTCTCTTCTCAGAAACAGAAGTTAATCGTCCCTTGCAATATTATTCAAATGGAAGAATACATTTCTTTAGCACCAGTAAAGCATCCATAAAATATTTTCCAACGCTGAAGGGAGTGCATGAGGCGGGGGAATCTGTCACTGTCGGAGACAGATGTCCTCAAGCTGTGGCAGAGCTGGAAAACCTGCCCCTGTTCCTTACACAGTCTCCCTCATGCAGGTGCCGGAAGACCAGGGTGTAGAGTGAGACATGCTGGGTGGTCTTTCATGAGTCGTGAGCCTTTTGCAAACGCTCTTACACTCAAATTCCATGGCTGACAATTGTACCCATATAGCTTCTATCTTTAGAATGTAATTCTAAAAACTGGGGAAGTAAAGGCCCCTATAAGCCAAAGGACAAGTCTGTTTCAAAAGGCAACTTATGCAGTGGTCAAGAGGAAGGGAAATCCAGCTGCATAAAAGGGGAACATTTTTAATTTTATTACTACAAAAAAAACAAAAAACAAAACAAAAACCTCCCAGTGAGGCAGTTATAAAAAGCTAATCCGATCTAGTCTGCTTTTCTGCTTTCAGCAGAAGGCTGAATGTCATTTGCTCACCTTGAATCTAATCATCAAGTCACTAATAATGCATATGGATCCAGTTACATCACATCCAGACATTCTCTTTTAATTTCAAGGCATTTTAATTTATAGACTCTCTTGAATTCCTCCTAAAGGGTCAGAAGTTGAGGCAACTGGGAAAAGCACAGGCAGCTCACCTCCTCAAGTAACAGTTACAGCACAGGACATCGTGAAACTGGTTAAGCAACAAGCCTGTCCCTGAGGCTCTTTCAGTCTAAAGTTCTATCAAATGTTGAAGTCACAGCTCTTGAAAAAGAGCCAAGGATGATGCATCCCACTGAAGTCAGGAGTGATGGGTCAGGAGGAGCTGAGCTGTGGCAGGTCTTGTCTTCCGGGCGAGCTGGCCACACTCTCAAGCTCATCCTCACTGTTTCACTGCCAGTCACCAAGGACTGGAGAGGTTTGGAATGATACAGTGAAGGCGGCAGTGGGGGTAGGGTGGGGATGACGTACAGCCTAGGGAGGGGCAGCAAGGGAGAGTCTCTGGCCGTTTTGGCTCCTTGGCTGACATCTTACCTGTTTTGTGGCACCTTTCTGAGGAATTCAGTAACTTTCTATAAAATCTGGCATATATCAAAGGGTATCAAGATATACCTTGGTTCGTTTCACAATTTATTCTGGTATTTTGAAACAAAATGGTAGCCAAAAAGGAGTTTCCAAAGAGTGTATCCTGAAAGGAAGGTAGCATGGGGAAGGGGTCAGGGGCCAGGGAGCAGCATATCTCCAGGCAGGGTACCCAGCAGCTAGACTGGGGGTCAGGACAGCTGGAACTCCTGGCCTTGCCCAGGCAGCCCCTTCCCGGTGCTTTGCGTTGGGAGCATGGTCGGTAGCCATGATGAATTCACCAAGGTCCCTGCCACTGAGGGTCGCAGAATAAAGGTGAAGAAGGTCGTGCACGGCCCACAATGAGATGATGGTGGGGACCAGGCTCAGTGTGAACATCAGCTAGAGTGACAGCCTTCACGTCTCCTCACAGCAGAGCTGCAGTGAACCGATTCCTCAAGGCCCGTCCCACCTGGGTAAAGTGGCCATAGGGCTTCTGTTGCCTTCCTAGAAACTTATCTTTAAGGGAAAACCCTTGAAGGATATCAGACAGCCATTTTCAGGATTTGGAATGCAGAATAACTGCCAGGTCGTGATACCTGGCACAAAGAATAGGGTAGGAGGACGAAGTTGAATTAAAGAAGCTGAAGGATTTAGAGAAGTCTGTGGAGAGGAGAGCTGACTAAATAGAGAGGGAAAGAAAGAACTCATGGTGTTCATCAGGCTTTTCTGGCTAAGGATTTAGAACCTGAAACTCTGCAAACTTGAGAGGAGAGGAGAGCAACAACTGAACAATGAAGAGGGGATGATTTAAAGACCAGTTCTGCCAAAACATTTCAAATATGAAAACCAAAAAGGAAGGAGCTGGGGAAAAAGGCTCAAGTGTTCCTAGCTGACCCCTGACCACCACCACAGAGCACCACCTCGGCCAGGAGACACTGGGCTCCAGGCCAGGAGCTTGGCCCTGGCCGAGTGAGTTCAGGCAGAAAGGGGCTGTGCTGCCCTGAGAAACCAGTACCCCCAGCCCAGTCCTCCCGGGACAGAAGGTGTCTGACAGTTGGCCAACTGCCATTCTGACAGTCCTGTACCTGTGTTTTACAATAAAGCATTGTCTTTGCAAACTTGAGTAAGCTCCTGTCAGTTTTTCATGGTCTCTACGTGGTTACCCTGTTCAGCTGCCTCAGCTTGTCCAGAAGGGCCTTCCCTGCCCTCGTTCCCTTACCACTTTTGGCCTTTGGGGGATTTTTCCTTGGAGAGGTCCTGGGACAGACCCAGGTTCACAGGCTACCCTGGTCCTCAGATGCAACAGGGCCATTTGTTCCTCTGTGGTCCTATAGCTCCCTAAATGTAAAAGACAAATCACCAGGAAGTAGGGCCCAGCCAGAGAGGGTGAAGAATGGCTCAAAACAAGTGCTTGGCAAGAATGTCATTCAAGCATCCTTCACTGGGACCTATTTCCCGTCCGGTTATCTGGATTACCAGCTCACAGAGCCTGTCCTGATGCTCTCCGGACCCTGCCCAGCCAGAGGCCGTGGGAGCTCAGGGGGCTACTCCCAGGGTGGGGCCTGTGCTCAATGCTGAACCCTCATGCTTGTCGCCGGGCAGATCTCCGTAGGGCTGAATCCAGTGCCACATATATCTACGCTTGAAACCAGGCAGGAGCATGGCTTGGGAAGGTCCGAGAGGAGAGCCAGCAAGAGGAATCAGGGGGCTGCTAAAGCCAACCTCATACTTCTCAGGAGAAACTCAGGATTCCTTCAGTGGGATCTCTGTTCCTATTTCCTTTCCTTTTCTGTTTTTTTGAGACAGTCTCACTTTGTCACCCAGACTGGAGTGCAGTGGTGCAATCTCAGTTCATTGCAACCTCTGCCTTCTGGGCTAAAGTGATCCTCCTGTCTCAGCCTCTCAGGTAGCTGGGACTACAGGCGTGCGCCACCACGCCCCACTAATATTTCCCGGGTAGCTGGGACTACAGGCGTGCGCCATCAGGCCCCGCTATTATTTCCCAGGTAGCTGGGACTACAGGCATGCACCACCACGCCCCACTAATATTTCCCGGGTAGCTGGGACTACAGGCATGCGCCATCAGGCCCCGCTATTATTTCCCAGGTAGCTGGGACTACAGGCATGCGCCACCACGCCCCACTAATATTTCCCGGGTAGCTGGGACTACAGGCGTGCGCCACCACGCCCCACTAATATTTCCCGGGTAGCTGGGACTACAGGCGTGCGCCACCACGCCCCACTAATATTTCCCGGGTAGCTGGGACTACAGGCGTGCACCACCACGCCCCACTAATGTTTCCCGGGTAGCTGGGACTACAGGCGTGCGCCACCACGCCCCACTAATATTTCCCGGGTAGCTGGGACTACAGGCGTGCGCCACCACGCCCCACTAATATTTCCCGGGTAGCTGGGACTACAGGCGTGCGCCACCACGCCCCACTAATATTTCCCGGGTAGCTGGGACTACAGGCGTGCGCCACCACGCCCCACTAATATTTCCCGGGTAGCTGGGACTACAGGCGTGCGCCACCACGCCCCACTAATGTTTCCCGGGTAGCTGGGACTACAGGCGTGCGCCACCACGCCCCACTAATATTTCCCGGGTAGCTGGGACTACAGGCGTGCACCACCACGCCTGCTAATATTTCCCGGGTAGCTGGGACTACAGGCGTGCGCCACCACGCCCCACTAATATTTCCTGGGTAGCTGGGACTACAGGGGTGCACCACCACGCCCCACTAATATTTCCCGGGTAGCTGGGACTACAGGCGTGCACCACCACGCCCCACTAATATTTCCCGGGTAGCTGGGACGACAGGCGTGCGCCACTACGCCCCACTAATATTTCCCGGGTAGCTGGGACTACAGGCATGCGCCACCACACCCCACTAATATTTCCTGGGTAGCTGGGACTACAGGCATGCGCCATCAGGCCCCGCTATTATTTCCCAGGTAGCTGGGACTACAGGCATGCACCACCATGCCCAGCTAATATTTCCCGGGTAGCTGGGACTACAGGTGCCCACGACACCTGCTAATATTTCTTGGGTAGCTGGGACTACAGGCATGCACCACCATGCCTGTTAATATTTCCTGGGTAGCTGGGACTACAGGCGTGCACCACCATGCCCCGCTAATATTTCCCGGGTAACTGTGACTACAGGCGCCCACCAGGCCTGCTAATATTTCCTGGGTAGCAGGGACTACACGTGTGCACCACCACACCTGCTAATATTTCCCGGGTAGCTGGGACTACAGGCGCCCACCACGCCTGCTAATATTTTCTGGGTAGCTGGGACTACAGGCGCCCACCACGCCTGCTAATATTTCCTGGGTAGCTGGGACTACACGTGTGCACCACCACGCCTGCTAATATTTCCCGGGTAGCTGGGACTACAGGCGCACACCACCACGCCCCGCTAATATTTCCCGGGTAGCTGGGACTACAGGCGTGCACCACCACGCCCAGCTAATATTTCCCGGGTAGCTGGGACTACAGGTGTGCACCACCACGCCTGCTAATATTTCCCAGGTAGCTGGGACTACAGGTGCCCACGACGCCTGCTAATATTTCCCGGGTAGCTGGGACTACAGGTGCCCACGACGCCTGCTAATATTTCCTGGGTAGCTAGGACTACACGTGTGCACCACCACACCTGCTAATATTTTCCGGGTAGCTGGGACTACAGGCGCGCACCACCACGCCCCGCTAATATTTCCCGGGTAGCTGGGACTACAGGCGCGCACCACCATGCCCCGCTAATATTTCCCGGGTAGCTGGGACTACAGGCGTGCACCACCACACCCCACTAATATTTTCCGGGTAGCTGGGACTACAGGCGTGCACCACCACGCCTGCTTATATTTCCCGGATAGCTGGGACTACAGGCGTGCACCACCACACCCCGCTAATATTTCCCGGGTAGCTGGGACTACAGGCATGCACCACCACACCCCGCTAATATTTCCCGGGTAGCTGGGACTACAGGCGTGCACCACCACACCCCGCTAATATTTCCCGGGTAGCTGGGACTACAGGCGTGCACCACCACACCCCGCTAATATTTCCCGGGTAGCTGGGACTACAGGCGTGTACCACCACACCCCGCTAATATTTCCCGGGTAGCTGGGACTACAGGCGTGCACCACCACGCCCCGCTAATATTTCCCGGGTAGCTGGGACTACAGGCGTGCACCACCACGCCCCGCTAATATTTCCCGGGTAGCTGGGACTACAGGCGTGCACCACCACGCCCCGCTAATATTTCCCGGGTAGATGGGACTACAGGCGTGCGCCACCACGCCCCGCTAGTATTTCCCGGGTAGCTGGGACTACAGGCGTGCGCCACCACGCCCCGCTAGTATTTCCTTTTCTGACCTGCATTTTCTTTAAGGCTATTTTCACCTGTTTTGTGACCCATTTTTTTCCCTTGTTACTAAAAAGAAATCAATATTGAACATTAGTTAGCAAGCAGAGAAGTATACATATTTTTGATGTGCTAAGTAGGAAAAGAGTGCTTTGTGGTTTCAGCTGCATTTTATTCTAATAAAGTCGTGAGTGAGCCCAAGTAGGCAGGACCTTGTGGTCTGGCCTCAAAATTGGGCTGCTGCCACCACCGCTCTGCAGTCCATTGCCTGAAAGGCCAGCCCGATTCACCTGCTCCACCCTGTCTAAAGACCAGCCCGATTCACCCGCTTCACCTGCTCTGAGGCTGGTCTCATGGGACAAAGAGGGAATTGCACTGAAGTCTCAGGGTTTTAGGACCAGAAGGGTAGGAGCTAGAGAAGGTGGCAGAGGTGAAGGTTGAACAAGTGAGTGGGACTCCAGGTACAAGTCCCAGCCTGCCCCCGGCTTCAACCACAGTAGCTCAGTTTCACGGTCTTACACATTAGCTCCGTGGCCTGGAGTAAGTTTCAAATGAGCACAGCGCCTACTTCCTATGGCTGATGAAGCACAGTGACTGACTGCAGGTAAACGCACCTAATATAGCGTGGGTCACCAAGTGGATGTTCAAAGCATGACAGCTATGGGTGTTTCAGATTCTACATTCTATTTTTTTTTTTTTTTTGAGATGGAGTCTCACTCTGTCGCCCAGGCTGGAGTGCAGTGGCGCAACCTTGGCAGCACCCACCACCACGCCTGACTAATTTTTTGTATTTTTAGTCGTGATGGGGTTTTGTCACGGTAGCCAGGCTGCTCTCAAACTCCTGACCTTAAGTGATCATCCCACCTCAGCCTCTCAAAGTGCTGGGATTATAGGCATGAGCCACCGCACCCGGCCTCTACATTAGATTTTGTTACAAGAAAGGATTTGGAAATCACTGATTTGGCCCATCTCTCTCATTTTAAAACAATTGAAAAATAACTTTGTTAAAGTACACACAAAGTATGTAAATGCATTTGTATAAGAAAATTTCCAAAAAAACTATACCAGAGTAAATGGAAAAAAATATTTCCTTGCTTCTCTACCTACTCTCACTCCAACTTCCTTCCCAAGAGACATCCACTGTTACCATTTCCAGACCTCTTTCTTATACATTTACACACATAAACATGCTTTTTACTTTTTCCATAAAAGACATTATACCTCCCAAAGTGCTGGGATGACAGGCGTGAGCTGCTGCGTCCGGCCCCCGTTCTACCACTTTTAAACTGCTGTGTAGCATCTCACAGTATGGATGCACTGTAATTTATTTAACCATCTTCAATAATAAACATTACAGACACAGCCAAGCCTTTTGCTTTTAAGGCTGCAGTTCACCTCTTTCTTTGTGCATCTTCCTCTACATGTATGGATTTTTTTTTAGACTTCTGGTTTAGATGTAAAATTGTTGCTTGACAGGACATGCATATTTACATTTCTGAAAGTTCTGATAATGACAATTTATGCACCAAAAAGGTTGTATCAAGCTGTATACTAGCCCTAAAATCCTGTACTGTTAGTCTTGTAATTTTTTTCTGTTTGCAAACCTGATGTAGGAAAAATATCCTGTTTTCTTTTTTTTCATGTTTATTAGCCAACTGAATTTCTTCAGTCAATCGTCTGTCTGACTCTGTACTCATTTTTCTAACGGGTTACTCGTATTTTCCTTATGGATTTTTAGGAGTTCTTTACATGTGCTAGATATTAATCGTTTGTGTCATGCAGCTTCAACTGTTTTTTAATCCCTTGATTATGTTTCTGGTCTCTTTTTCCAAAAGAACGTTGTTCTCTTTATGTTGTTAAACCTTTTAGTACTTTTCTTCATGGCTTTTGGGTTTTATGTCTTATTTAGTCTCCCTAATATTCTGTTATTAAAGGATAGGTGGGCATGGTGGCTCACACCTGGAATCCCAGCACTTTGGGAGGCCGAGGCGGGCAGATCACCTGAGGTCAGGAGTTTGAGACCAGCCTGGTCAACATGGTGAAACCCCGTCTCTACTAAAAATACAAAAATTAGCCAGGCTTAGTGGTGTGCACCTGTAATCCCAGCTACCCAGGAGGCTGAGGCAGGAGAATTGCTTGAACCTGGGAGGCAGAGGTTGCAGTGGGCCGATATCGCCCCACTGCACTCCAGCCTGCTGACAGAGCAAGACTCTGTCTAAAAAACAAAATGAAAAAACAAAAAAATAAAAAAATAAAGGATAGTCTTTTCTTCTCATTTAACAGGGAAGGCAGTTCACTACATTACAGCAGAATCGGGATTAGACCACAAGTCTTGACTGCTGGTCCAAGGATTTTGCTACTAAATCACTTTGCTTCTCTATTGTTACCCGCAGTTTAAAAAAAAAAAACAAATCTAGCTCTAAAGAAAATTCAAAGGTATGATTCTCTCAACTTGGATTTCTTCTTCCCTCCCTCCTTTCTTCTTTCCCCTTCCATTCCTGCCTGCATGGGTTCTGTGTACACTCTGCACGACTCGAGGAGACGGATGAGTCAGCTACAATTCCTGTATTCAAGGAGCTCAATGTCTACGCATATGTAATGATGCAAACAGAAATTACCATAGAACAGAGTCACTTGGTTTCCCAGTGGACAGGAAATCTGAAGAGAGCACCTTGATGTGTTAGCAGGGAGCCTGGGCCTCCAAAGAGAAGAGGTTTACTCCTTTCTCTTTCTTTTCTTTTTTTTTAGAGATAGGGTGTCACTCTGTCACTCATCATAGCTCACTGCAGCCTCAACTCCTGGGCTGAAGTGATCCTCCTGCCTCAGCCTCCCAAGTGATTGGGACTAAGGGGTGCACCCGACTAATTTTTTTTTTTTTGTAGGGATGAGGTCTCACTATGTTGCCCAGGCTGGTCTCGAACTCCTGGTCTCAAGCAATCCTGCCTTGGCCTCCCAAAGTGCTGGGATTATACAGGTGTGAGCCACTGCATCAGACCAAAAAGAAGAGGTTTCCGGAGTGAAAATTTGGACCTGGTCTTTGACTACACAGAGACAAACGTTTAACCGGCAGTACTATGTTCCACCTTTCCAATGGAGGCACGTAGTCCCCAGGCCTGTATACCTGGCTTTGGGGTTTACAGAGACTCATTGACCTAGTTTGTTCACCAGAGATGTTAAAAGGTAAACCCTAAAGTAAAAACATATCCTAATTGTAACCAAATCTGATAACTGATAAAGAAATAAGGTATTTGTGACTGAGTAAGGCCTCTGACTCACAAAATTACTAGTCTGTAAAATGGGATCAATACTTAAGAAAAATGATGACAGGGCATTCTAGAAACATGATGTACTGCGTAAGAGACAAACAATAAATCCACACAGAGTGTTCTGTATCATCACTTTCCCAGCAGCTCAGTGAAATCACTGCAATGAGGGGTTAAGCACCGAAGCCAATGGATAGAGTCACCATACAGTGAAACCCTGAATCCCAACCACCCAACCCACTGATTTCACGTGGCAGCTCCCTAGGGAAGGTCTTACCAGGGTCCCATCGGTCAGGGTGCAGCCGGAGAAGCGTTTTGCAAGAAACCCCTCAAAGTTAGTTGTTCTTTGAATAGCAAAAAGAAGCAATTTCACTTCAATTTCCTTCGCTCTGGTACGCATAATCTTGGCAAGTTCTGCCCTTCAAAACAAAGAGATAAGAATACTATCAAACAAGCTGATCATTCATTCAGTAGAGATAAGGTAAATGGCCTTAGCTTATATTCAGAAAAAAAAAATGTATGTGGTCATTTCAAACCCTGAGGTCTGTTACCACCTTAGTCTAAAACCTGGGGAATAGAAATACATATTCTAAACAAGATTTTTAAGGTGAAATTATCCACCAGGCAAAAAAATCAGGGGTCATGGATGATATATATATACTTATATTTATTTGTTTGTTTATTTATTTATTTATTTATTTGAGATGGAGTCTCCCTCTGTCGCCCAGGCTGGAACCTCCACCTCCTGGGTTCAAATGATTCTTTTTTTTTTTTGTATTTTTAGTAGAGATAGTGTTTCACCATGTTGGCCAGGCTGGTCTCAAACTCCTGACCTCAAGAGATCCGCCCACCTCGGCCTCCCAAAGTGCTGGGATTATAGGTGTGAGCCACCAGTAATTTGGTTACATAGTTACTACGTTGCCTGTATCTTTGAACAGTTTAATAATTGGATAATAATACATATGGAGCACCTAATTTTTTATTAGTGTATATAGCCTATATAATTTCACAAGTCATTAATTACTGAATTATAAAGCCCTCCCTCTTCCTGAGGGCCCAATAATCATCTCTTCAACTAGAGAGCAGGAGTCCTGGAAACACACGCAAGGGACAGGATCCCTGCGGGAAAAGTGGCAAGCACGCTTAGCTGGTCCCTGCCCGAGAAGCTCCTGTGCAGCTCTCACTCAAACGTTCCATCTCAGAAGCTCAGTTGCTGGTGAACAGGGACATGTGAGTTCTTAGTAAGGACTAAGCTACCATCTTCTCACACAAATAAATGACAAAATGAAACAAAGAGTCTCTGAGTTTATTTGAGAATGATGTATCTGTAGGATTTTAGCCAAAATTCTAACAATAGAAGCTTGGCAGCAACACTGCCATTAGCCGAGACAACAATGGCAGGTACTGGCGCTCACAAGAAACGTGCTGGCTCTAGCATACGTCCAGCCTCTCCCAGGCTCCATTTCTCACTGAGCTGGTTTGCAAGTCTGCTGAACTGTAGGCTAAAAAGAATTAGCTAACAGTTTCTCAAGGAATTCACTCTTTATTTTGTTAATTGGGATTTAGAAGGTGACAATCTCAACTCATCTTAAACCAATGCTAAAAGGTTCTCTAAATCTACAGGAGTCAATGTGTTTCTTTTTTTTTCTTCCTCTTTCTTTCTTTTTCCCTTCCACTCGCCCTCCCTCCCTCCCTCCCTCCCTTCCTCACTTCCTTCCTTCTCTGTCTTTCTCTCTCTTCTTTTTTTTTTTTTGAGACAGGGTCTCACTCTGTCACCCAGGGCTGGAGTGCAATGGCATGATAATGGCCTACTGCAACCTTGACCTGGGCTCAAGCAATCCTCCCACCTCAGCCTCTCTAGTAGCTGGGATTACAGGTGCTTGCCACCATGACCAGCTAATTTTTGCATTTTTTGTAGAGATGGGGTTTTGCCATGTTGCCCAGGCTTGTCTCAAACTCCTAGGCTCATATGATCCACCTGCCTTGGCCTCCTGAAATGCTAGGATTATAGGCATAAACCACCAAGCCTGGCCCAATGTGTTTCTTAGAATAACAGCCACACAGAATGGAGCTCAGTGCACCTGTAGTTGCAGCTACTTGGGTGGCTGAAGCAGGAGGGCTGCCTGAGCCCGGGAGTTCAAGGCTGGGGTACGCTATTACCATGCCTGTGAATAGCCATTGTACTCCAGCCTGGGCAACACTGCGAGACCCCCATCTCTTAAAAAAAAAAAAAAAAGCCACACAGAATGTATGTGAACACCAAGCGTGAACACTACCATGAACTATGGACCATCACTCTGGGTAATGATGATGTGTCCGTGTAGTTTCATGAGCTGTGATAAATGCATCGCTCTGGCGGAAGGTGCCGACCATGGGGAAGACTATGCACGTGGGGCCGGGAGCACCTGGGAACTCTCTGTGTCTTCTGCTCAATTCTGCTGTGAACCTAAAACTGCTCTAAAAGGTAAAATCTATTTTAAGAAAAGCCAATATCCCTTAAAACACTTTTGCCCCACAATGTGTTTGAAACATGCAATTTGACTTTACTTTCCATGATTTTAATAAAAAAGACGGCCATGGATTATGGGAAAAGGTGGTTGAGTTATGCTAGATATGGGCTTTTTTTTCTCTTTTTCACCCAGCATTAGATCTAACTGTGTACTACTGGGAGGAAATATATAACTAATAAGAACCAGTTACCAACACTGTTGTAGTCTAGCCGCAAATAAAGAATAAAAGGAGTTCAAGACCAGCCCGAACAACACAGCAAAACTCTTGTCTCTACAAAAAATACACACACAAAAATTAGCCGGTGTGGTGGCACACACCTGTCATCTCAGCTACTCAGGAGGCTGAGGTGGGAGAATCACTTGAGCCTAGGAGGTCAAGGCTGCTGTGAGCCATGATCACACCACTGCACTCCAGTCTGGGTGACAAAGTGAGACCCCGTCTCAAAAAAAAAAAAAAGTCTGACTCTGGCTTTAGCTTTGTCATAGATATACTGATTTAACCTTCCTGGGCTTTGGGTTTTTTTAATATAAAGAGACTATCTGTCCTTGGGCTACACTCATGGATAACGTAGAGAGGATGAACAAAAGACGGTCTTTAAAATGCTTGGAAAGCTCAGACGCAGGCCAGGTGCAGTGGCTCATGCCTGTAATCCCGGCACTTCGGGAGGCTAAAATGGGCGGGCAGATCACCTGAGGTCGGGACTTCAAGACCAGCCTGGCCAACGTGGTGAAACCCCATCTCTACTAAAAATACAAAAATGAGCCAGGTGTGGTTACACACACCTGTAATCCTTGCTACCTGGGAGACTGAGGCATGAGAATCACTTGAATGCAGTAAATGGAGGTGGCAGTGAGCTGGGATTGTATCACTGCAGCACTCCAGCCTGGGTGACAGAGTGATTCTGTCTTGAAATAAAAGCTCTGAACTATCCAGAGGCTATACACACTGTATTGGGAGTGGGAAATTCATTCAACAAATGTTTCCTCTGTGTCTGCTATATCATTAAGGTAGATACTACCCTGTCTCTATGGAACTATCTATCTAGCAAGTCAGAAAATAAAAATGATGATGGGATATATACACAGCACACTGATACATGCGATACCGACTAGGGGAAAACGTGGGGTAGAGGAATCACTGTAGGTCAATCTGGTGTATAAGCCTTGAGTTGGTGGAGAAGGTAGAGATGGCTTGAGGCAAGAACTACACCACGGAAAGTCCCAGAGCAAAGATGGGGGCAGAGGGAGCAGCTGGTGGGGCCACTGTGGGGTACGAGGATGATATTAGTCATCTGGTGGGGTCTGGAAGTGGCATCAAATCCACAGGACAACATGGAACCATTAGAGACTGGGGAACCGATGGTGAAAATTTGATTAACCACAGAACCAGTAGAGAACTGGCATCTACCTTGTCACATGGCAAAATTCCACCGCAATCCTCTCAGCCATGCACCACTCACGTGGAAACATGCGGCCGTATTTCTCCTCATAGTCCACAAGCTGGCGTTTTATCCAGGCATAGCGTCTGTCGATTTTGTCCAGCCAGGCAACCTGGTGAAGGTGGAGATCAAAAGCCACCCCAGTGGTTAGAAGTAGAAATGGCAGTTCAAGGAAACAAGCAAAAACACAGAGCCAAGCAAAAGGGAACCAACCTCTGTATTTCTCATGGTTTTAAAGAATCTAGGCTACCTTTTTAACTTGATTTTTTACTTAAAAATTCAGAGGTTTTTGGCTGGGCGCAGTGGCTCATGCCTATAATCCCAGCACTTTGGGAGGCCGAGGTCAGCAGATCACCTGAGGTCAGTTCGAGACCAGCCTGACCAACATGGAGAAACCCCGTCCCTACTAAAAAATACAAAAATTAGCCTGGTGTGGTGACAGGCGCCTGTAATCCCAGCTACTTGGGAGGGGGAGGCAGGAGAATTGCTTGAACCCGGGAGGCAAGGTTGCAGTAAACTGAGATCGCACCACTGCGTTCCAGCCTGGGCAACAAGAGCGAAACTCCGTCTCACACACACACACACACACACACAAAATCCAGAGGTTTTTAACCTGGGGTCCATGATTGGCCTTCAGGGGTCTATACATTTCCAGAAACTATATGCAGAATTTTATGCACAGGTGCATGTTTCTGAATTTCTCCAAAGGGTCAGTGACCTCAAAATGGTTAAGAACTATAAACTCAGCCCCTAGGACTCACAGCTCAACAACCAACACTGTCAGACAGTCATGTAATACGAGGTCTAAATTAGTAGGCTTGACAGCACTCATGTTTCAATAAAATTCAAATGTTACATCTGATCTTATTTGGTCAATACTCACATCTTGGTTTTCTTGAAAAAGTACCAGATACTCTGACAGATGCTGTTTAATAAACTTTTTGATGATTTCCTGTTTGATCCTGGGATCTAGAATATTAGCAACCAGACATGCATCTCGTAGAACATTGCTGGGTCCTCCTGGTCTCTAGTAAAACAAACATGTACCAGGTGAAAAGCCAGAAACAACCTTTAAACCTCATGGCTTCTCACAGCCACTACTTGTTATCTCTACGCATTGTCAGTCTTACTCCTGCTCCTTCACACTCATTCTTTCTGCTGTGGCTGGATCTGTCAGTTACCTGCTGCTCCTCGAGGATGGAATCCTTACACTCGTTTTACAGCAAGCGACAGAAAAACTACCCTGTGAATCTGCAATGAGATATTTTGGGAAATGGGCAGTAATGATCACGGGAAATTTGACTTTCTGCAAACCAAAACTGAAAGAGATCTAAAAGTCAGAATGCCACTGGTCTCTGATGTCGCAAGATGCTGCTGAAGAGGCCTAAGAGTGGGAATGCCACCAGCCTCTCTCCTAAGAGTTGGAATGCCACCAGCCTCACTCCACATGTGCCACTCTTCCCTGACTCCAACCTCTGGGATTCCTGTTCTTAAAGTGCTATGTTTTTGCCAAATAGTGTGGTCTCCCTTAACACATAAAACCAGGTTCCAAGCCACGACATGTGTTTCACAATAGTGAACTACCTAGAAAGGCAGCCAAAGAGAAAATGCTGTGATACTGGCCTCCTGACCTGAGCGAACACTGGAAAGATACCAGGCGCTGTACTGACGCATCACGACGGGAAGGTCTTTGTTACCAAAAGCAATTCAATGACCAAAGTTTTGCTGAGACTTTCTTTACAGTACGTCACTGAGTGAACATGACTGGCTAAGTGGACTACAGTAAAAAGAACACTTGGAATCTACTCCTGGCTTGGCTAAAAAGCCATGCATGTAGCTTTGGAGCACTTGCTCACCTCATATGAAAAATAATAGACTTTAGGTGATAAGTAAGGTTCTTCTAAATCTTTATTTTTTGTCAACTCTTTCCAATTCCACCCATCTCAACTGAAGTTCCACGCTTCTAAAGTGTTATATAAGCTGCCTGAGACCTGAGTTTTTAAAATGTTGACTTACTCCATGCTGAGTGGTTTTTATGTCATCTGCTGAACACCCTAACTTCTCAATTCTCACTTCAGGATGAAAGTGACCTGATAGAGAAGTCATAGATGCCAAAACCTATGGGTTCACGGGTTCAGATTTTTTCATTTACAAAGAGTTTACTAGGTTGTGCCTTGGAAAAATTTTTAAAAATCTTAATTCCCACTTGTGAAATGGAAATAGTAACACAAGGCCTTTAAGAAAAGCCCATAGTCTTTAAAAAGAAAACTAGGCTGGGA
Source organism: Homo sapiens (assembly GCF_000001405.40). NCBI lineage: Eukaryota > Metazoa > Chordata > Mammalia > Primates > Hominidae > Homo > Homo sapiens. Next base: position 629,484 of record NC_000017.11, read on the forward strand.
GCGGTGGCTCACGCCTGTAATCCCAGCACTTTGGGAGGCCAAGGCAGGCAGATCATGAGGTCAGGAGATCGAGATCCATCATGGCTAACATGGTGAAACCCCATCTCTACTAAAAAAAAATACAAAAAAATTAGCCAGGCGTGGTGGCGGGTGCCTGTAGTCCTAGCTACTCAGGAGGCTGAGGCAAGAGAATGGCATGAACTCGGAAGGTGGAGCTTGCAGTGAGCCGAGATCGCACCACGACACTCCAGCCTGGGCAACGGAGCAAGACTCCATCTCAAAAAAAAGAAAAGAAAAGAAAACTAAAAACAAAACAAAAAAAAAACCACACACACACACACACACACACACACACACACACACGAAGTCACTATGCCAGAGAAAAGGGAGGCATGTTGTTAAAGAGAACCATTTTAATTTCATCTGCCCGGTGGAATCTGGGAAAAAAAATATAAAGCAGGCCTCTTCTAAACAATAAAGATGGGCTTCATCCACATCTTCCTGAAACTTCTAGAAACTGAAATGAGTGGCTGGGCATGGTGGCTCATGCCTGTAATCCCAGCACTTTGGGAGGCCGAGGCGGGCGGATCACCTGAGGTTGGGAGTTCGAAACCATCCTGGCCAACATGGAGAAACCCCGTCTCTACTAAAAATACAAAAATTAGCCAGGTGTGGTGGCAGGTGCCTGTAATCCCAGCTATTTGGGAGGCTGAGGCAGGAATCACTTGAACCCAGGGGGCGGAGGTTGCAGTGGGCTGAGATCACACCATTGCACTCTAGCCTGGGCCAAAGAGTGAAACTCCGTCAAAAAAAAAACAAACAAACAAACAAAAAAAAAAACCTGAAACGGGCAGCTGAGTACACGTGAGGCTAACCTTGTCCTAAGAAGAGCCCAGTGCTTCTCATGAGCGAATATCCCCACAATCCCTTTTCACTTCTTTGACCTTCATTTTCCTCATGTAATAAATAGGACTAATGGCTTTCCAATATCTACTCCCTCCCTGCAGTTATATCAGATGACTAAGGAATATGAGGTTCTCCAAGGAAAGTGCTTTACAAATAAGCATCTGATTACTAGCAGACAGCCACAAAATGTGAAGACATTAAAATCAGGAGCGGGCTTCCTATAGAAAGTGATGGGCAAAAGCTGGGGCCGCTACTCCCACTTACTTCCTACATTTCTTTTATGGAACACAAAGAAAAAATAATTAAGATATTTCCAGTTATTGAATTACAGAGCAGATGCAGGAAATGTTCCTTGGATCAGTAAATGAATGTATGTCCCCATCTCTACCCACCGAGTAGGGTGAGGCTCCTTGCCCCTAAGTGCTTCAGTATATTTCTGCCTTGAACAATTCTTTCTCTTGAAATAGCTCAAACAATAGAGAAAAAGTCTCGTATGGGTTCTTTCCTGTCCGACACATGCTAGGCGCTAAGATGGCATCTGCTACAGTTGGAAGGGTGGAGCTAAAAGCAGTTCCCCAAGCAGGATGGCAGCTTGTTACATGAGAAGTGCAACCAACAGCTCCCAAGTGAAATGCTGTGGGCTTTGCAGACACAACACAAACAGCTCTGCTACCAGAGAGAGCTCAAGGGCATGAATTCCGAAGAGCAGGCTTATGGTCAGTAACAGTGAGGCTCCTCACTATATCACTCTGAGAGTTACATAAGATGGTGGATGCTCCACCCAGTTGTCTTTTCACCAAACCAAAACCAGTAAGTTATGTAACAATCCTAAAAACACCGCGGCATGAAGATTTCTTTTAAATACAGCCATGAGAAAAAAGGAATTGACAGGGCATACAAGATAGACGGTTTGAGACCTACATCAAATTAAGCCCAAACAAATCCTCTCTTTCTGAGGCTGGAAGGAAACAGAGGAGGAACTGCCACCACCTAGGGACATTTAAAATCCAGGGTGGTCTCATTACCCTGAACCTGCAGCAGAAGGATTTGCAGCTGCCAGCGAGCATGACTGGAATGATAACCACATGGTGACTGGGGTGAGCGTGAGCTCGGCAAGGATGGTGATCATCTCTAAAGACTGGGGAAACGCAAAGCAGTACCTTGGTGCCCTGGGAAGGAAACGCTTCTTCAAAATCTGCCAGGATTTGCTGTCCTAACTCAGTCTGTGCAGCCTTCACTCTGTGAGGAAGAGAGAACATATCATCACCTGGCATCATATCCTTATGTAACTACACACCGATCCACAGGGTCGGAAGGGCTGAAGTCTTTCGAGAAAGGCCAGGAAGGGTACAGAGACGTCCATGAGGTGAGAGGTCACATACTAGTTAAGTGACAGGTTGATGAGCAGGACCCAGGCATCCAAGATATTCTCAGGGTGAATCTTCTATATCCCCAAAATTCTTCTAGGCCAACCCTTTACCTGAGGTCATATGTATTAATCTTTATACAGTTCCACTGGGGGATAGTCATGCTGTGGGAAAATGTTATAGAATCACATCCACATCAAATATAAATCTAGCTGGGCGCAGTGGTTCACGCCTGGAATCCCAGCATGTGGGAAGCTGACGTGAGAGGGTCGCTTGAGACCAGGATTTCAAAACCAGCCTGGGCAACATTAGAGAGATCCAGTCTCCACGAAAAACAAACTAAAATAAAAAGTACCCAGGTGCGGGGGCACACACCTGTACTCGGGAGGCTGCGGCGGGAGGATCTCTTGAGCCCAGGACTTTTGAAGATACACTGAGCTATGATCACACCACAGCACTCCAGCCTGGGTGACAGAGGGAGACCTTGGCTCTAAAACAAAACACTAACAAACAACAACAAATAAATCCACTTTGGATTACTGGTGTAACTGCTGTCCTACTCCTTGGAGTACAGAATGGCAAGAGGGCTCCATAATGTTTTAGGGTGTTTTGTAAAAAATTATTATGGGTATATAATCATTATATATATATTTATGGGGTACCTGTGAAGTCTTGATACAGGCATACGATGTATAATGATCAAATCAGGGTAACTGGGTTATCAATCACCCCAAGTTATTTGTTACTTCTCCGTGTTAGGAACATTCCAATTCCAATCTTTTAGTTATTTTTAAATAAACAATAAATTATTAACCGTAGTCACCCTATTGTTCTACCAAATACTAGATCGTATCATTCTAACTGTATTTTTGTGCCCAGTAGCCATCCCAGTTACTCCCCGCCTCCCTGCTATGCCTCCCAGCCTCTGGGACCCAGCGTTCTACTCGCTATCTCCATGAGTTTACTTTGAAAATGTTTAGCACCCACATGAGTGAGAACATGAGGAATCTGTCTTCCCGTGTCTGGCTTATTTCATTTCACATCACGTCCAGTTCAATCCATGCAGCTGCAGTGTTTTGGGTTTCCTGTTAACCCAGAAACCAACAAGCTCGTTAAGTTTTTAAACAAATAAATGAAAAGAATGTTTTCTAAGGTAAAAACAAAAAGAGCCAAGTGACAAAATGAACTGCTAAATGATCACTAGTGAGGGCCACTGAGTGACCATTTAAGTTCAGAAGTTTGTGAATATGAAAACGGAACTGCAAGGAAAACCAGCTAGAAAGGGGAGGCCAGTACTCAACAGTGGCCGTGAGTGTACTAGGAGCTCAAGAACTGTGCGTGTACTTGAATGCAAGGGCAGAAAGGAGAAGCGGCTAGGATGGAAAGCGGCTATGGATCATACCCCACGATCAATCACGCCCCGCAATGGATCAGGCCCCGCAATCACGTCCCGCAATCGATCACGCCCCACAATCGATCGCATGCTGTGCATCCCCCACGAGCTGCCTGATGTTGGTGGCCACCGTGCACCGGCCAGCCTTGCAGAGAGAGAGTGGAACAAGATTCTCAGGCCCTGCTGGGCTTCCTGAGCCTGAGGCAAATACTGTCTGGTTGCTAAAAATGCCTTAAAAGAGCACACTTCCATTCTCGGTCTCCACCCTGTTCCTTCAGAATTAACTTTATGAAGTTTCTAGAAATAGCAACAGCTCAAAACCACAATTTCTTTGGCTGCTAAGGAGTGTCTGGCAACCTGCTGAGATTTTTTTTCAGATGAGGGGATAGGCATGACCCAAAACAATCTGTTTTTTCCGTGGCGTGGTTACAATTATACCTTATTCCAAATACTTTCCAAGGTTTTTCCAGTATCTTCAAAACTTTTAAAACCACTCTTAGAGGTGGGTTTGTAGCCTTTTGAGTCAGTTTTCAAGGAGGCCAGAATGATCCAGACGAGGCTATTACTGGAATAGCCGCCACCTCCAGATTGGAATCAGGGCCATACGTCTAGAGCTGTCCAGCAGACAATGGGAGACATTCCTTCAGCGTGAACTTTGACATGAGAGAAAAGAATAAAATTGTACTTCGGAGCTTCTTGTGATGCGCACACGAGGAGGCAGCACACAGCCTGCTGTGGTGCCAGGTCACAGGACAGCTTCCAGAGGCTCAGGCCCCCCCTGTTCCTACCCTCTTCTTGGAAGCACACACACAGCACCAGTTCCCTCCTAAGCCACAGGGAACTTATAGTAGGAACTTTTCATGGTTAGAAGAGGAAGGAGTTCTCCTCACAGGGGAAGTCCAGCCGCTAGCCAGGGCACCCACAGTCACATTCTCAGGACTACTGGCCATCTCAATGACACTGGTGGGCCCGGCTCTGCCCCTGGCCCGAACTATTTGCTACTCCATATTCTTGGTGACTCTGGAACTGAGGTGGCAGAAAGGAGAGCCTCTGGCCCAAACTATTCCCTACTCTGAATTCTTGGTGACTCTGGAACTGAGGTGGCAGAAAGGAGAACCAGAGCCTGTGACAGCACCTGGTATCACCAGAGACAAAAAAGAGGAAAAATTACCAGTCTCTGATTTGTAGACTTCCTTGCCATGCTCTTCATTTTCATTTTTTTACATTAAATTATTATGTACACCTTATTTTTTTTTATTATTATACTTTCAGTTTTAGGGTACATGTGCACAATGTGCAGGTTCGTTACATATGTATACATGTGCCATGCTGATGTGCTGCACCCATTAACTCATCATTTACATTAGCTATATCTCCTAATGCTATCCCTCCCCCCTCCCCCCACCCCACAACAGGCCCCGGTGTGTGATGTTCCCCTTCCTGTGTCCAAGTGTTCTCATTGTTCAATTCCCACCTATGAGTGAGAACATGCAGTGTTTGGTTTTTTGTCCTTGCAATAGTTTGCTGAGAATGATGGTTTCCAGCTTCATCTGTGTCCCTAAAAGGGACATGAACTCATCCTTTTTTATGGCTGCATAGTATTCCATGGTGTATATGTGCCACATTTTCTTAATCCAGTCTATCATTGATGGACATTTGGGTTGGTTCCAAGTCTTTGCTATTGTGAATAGTGCCGCAATAAACATACGTGTGCATGTGTCTTTATAGCAGCATGATTTATAATCCTTTGGGTATATACCCAGTAATGGGGTGGCTGGGTCAAATGGTATTTCTAGTTCTAGATCCTTGAGGAATCGCCACACTGTCCTCCACAATGGTTGAACTAGTTTACATTACCACCAACAGTGTAAAATTGTTCCTATTTCTCCACATCCTCTCCAGCATCTGTTGTTTCCTGACTTTTTAATGATCACCATTCTAACTGGTGTGAGATGGTATCTCATTGTGGTTTTGATTTGCATTTCTCTGATGACCAGTGATGGTTAGCATTTTTTCATGTGTCTGTTGGCTGCATAAATGTCTTCTTTTGAGAAGCATCTGTTCATATCCTTCGCCCACTTCTTGATGGGGTTGTTTGTTTTTTTCTTGTAAATTTGTTTGAGTTATTTATAGATTCTGGATATTAGCCCTTCATCAGATGAGTAGATTGCAAAAATTTTCTCCCATTCTGTAGGTTGCCTGTTCACTTTGATCATAGTTTCTTTTGCTGTGCAGAAGCTCTTTAGTTTAATTAGATCCCATTTGTCAATTTTGGCTTTTGTTGCCATTGCTTTAAGTGTTTTAGACATGAAGTCCTTGCCCATGCCTATGTCCTGAATGGTATTGCCTAGGTTTTCTTCTAGGGTTTTTATGGTTTTAGGTCTAACATTTAAGTCTTTAATCCATCTTGAATTAATTTTTGTATAAGGTGTAAGGAAGGGATCCAGTTTCAGCTTTCCACGTATGGCTAGCCAGTTTTCCCAGCACCATTTATTAAATAGGGAATCCTTTCCCCATTTCTTGTTTTTGTCAGGTTTGTCAAAGATCAGATGGTTGTAGATGTGTGGTATTATTTCTGAGGGCTCTGTTCTGTTCCATTGATCTACATCTCTGTTTTGGTACCAGTACCATGCTGTTTTGGTTACTATAGCCTTGTAGTATAGTTTGAAGTCAGGTAGCATGATGCCTCCAGCTTTGTTCTTTTGGCTTAAGATTGTCTTGGCAATGCGGGACCTTTTTTGGTTCCATATGAACTTTAAAGTAGTTTTTTCCAATTCTGTGAAGAAAGTCATTGGTAGCTTGATGGGGATGGCACTGAATCTATAAATTACCTTGGGCAGTATGGCCATTTTCACGATATTGGTTCTTCCTATCCATGAGCATGGAATGTTCTTCCATTTGTTTGTATACTCTTTTATTTCATTGAGCAGTGGTTTGTAGTTCTCCTTGAAGAGGTCCTTCACATCCCTTGTAAGTTGGATTCCTAGGATTCCCAAATTCCTAGTTGGATTTTATTCTCTTTGTAGCAATTGTGAATGGGAGTTCCCTCATGATTTGGCTCTCTGTTTGTCTGTTATTGGTGCATAAGAATGCTTGTGATTTTTGCACACTGATTTTGTCTCCTGAGACTTTGCTGAAGTTGCTTATCAGCTTAAGGAGATTTTGGGCTGAAACGATGGGGTTTTCTAAATATACAATCATGTCATCTGCAAACAGGGACAATTTGACTTCCTCTTTTCCTAATTGAATACCCTTTATTTCTTTCTCCTGCCTGATTGCCTTGGCCAGATCTTCCAACACTATGTTGAATAGGAATGGTGAAAGAGGGCATCCCTGTCTTGTGCCAGTTTTCAAAGGGAATGCTTCCAGTTTTTGCCCATTCAGTATGATATTGGCTGTGGGTTTGTCATAGATAGCTCTTATTATTTTGAGATAAGTCCCATCAATGCCTAATTTATTGAGAGTTTTTAGCATGAAGGGCTGTTGAATTTTGTCAAAGGCCTTTTCTGCATCTATTGAGATAATCATGTGGTTTTTGTCTTTGGTTCTGTTTATATGATGAATTACATTTTTTGATTTGCATATGTTGAACCAGCCTTGCATCCCAGGGATGAAGCCCACTTGATCATGGTGGATAAGCTTTTTGATGTGCTGCTGGATTTGGTTTGCCAGTATTTTACTGAGGATTTTTGTGCCAATGTTCATCAGGGATATTGGTCTAAAATTCTCTTTTTTTGTTGTGTCTCTGCCAGGCTTTGGTATCAGGATGATGCTGGTCTCATAAAATGAGTTAGGGAGGATTCCCTCTTTTTCTATTGATTGGAATAGTTTCAGAAGGAATGGTACCAGCTCCTCCTTGTACCTCTGGTAGAATTCGGCTGTGAATCCATCTGGTCCTGGACTTTTTTTGGTTGGTAGGCTATTAATTATTGCCTCAATTTCAGAGCCTGTTATTGGTCTATTCAGGGATTCAACTTCTTCCTGGTTTAGTCTTGGGAGGGTGTATGTGTCCAGGAATTTATCCATTTCTTCTAGATTTTGTAGTTTATTTGCATAGGGGTGTTTATAGTATTTTCTGATGGTAGTTTGTATTTCTGTGGGATCAGTGGTGATATCCCCTTTATCATTTTTTATTGCATCTATTTGATTCTTCTCTCTTTTCTTCTTTATTAGTCTTGCTAGCAGTCTATCAATTTTGTTGATCCTTTCAAAAAACCAGCTCCTGGATTCATTGATTTTTTTGAAGGGTTTTTTGTGTCTCTATCTCCCTCAGTTCTGCTCTGATCTTAGTTATTTCTTGACTTCTGCGAGCTTTTGAATGTGTTTGCTCTTGCTTCTACAGTTATTTTAATTGTGATGTTAGGGTGTCAATTTTAGATCTTTTCTGCTTTCTCTTGTGGGCATTTAGTGTTATAAATTTCCCTCTACACACTGCTTTAAATGTGTCCCAGAGATTCTGGTATGTTGTATCTTGTTCTCATTGGTTTCAAAGAACATCTTCATGTCTGCCTTCATTTCATTATGTATCCAGTAGTCATTCAGGAGCAGGTTGTTCAGTTTCCAGTAGTTGAGTGGTTTTGAGTTAGTTTCTTAACCCTGAGCTCTAGTTTGATTGCACTGTGGTCTGAGAGACAGTTCGTTATAATTTCTGTTCTTTTACATTTGCTGAGGAATGCTTTACTTCCAACTATGTGATCAATTTTGGAATAAGTGCGATGTGGTGCTGAGAAGAATGTATATTCTGTTGATTTGGGGTGGAGAGTTCTGTAGATGTCTATTAGGTCCGTTTGGTGCACAGCTAGTTCAATTCCTGGATATTCTTGTTAACTTTCTGTCTCATTGATCTGTCTAATGTTGACAGTGGGGTGTTAAAGTCTCCCATTACTATTGTGTGGGAGTCTAAGTCTCTTTGTAGTTTCTAAGGACTTGCTTTATGAATCTGCGTACTCCTGTATTGGGTGCATATATATTTAGGATAGTTAGCTCTTCTTGTTGAATTGATCCCTTTACCATTAAGTAATGGCCTTCTTTGTCTCTTTTGATCTTTGTTGGTTTAAAGTCTCTTTTATGAGAGACTAGGATTGCAACCCCTGCCTTTTTTTGTTTTCCATTTGCTTGGTAGATCTTCCTCCATCCCTTTATTTTGAGCCTATGTGTGTCTTTGCACATGAGATGGGTCTCCTGAATACAGCACACCGATGGGTCTTGACTCTTGAGCCAATTTGCCAGTCTGTGTCTTTTAATTGGAGCATTTAGCCCATATACATTTAAGGTTAATATTGTTATGTGTGAATTTGATCCTGTCATTATAATGTTAGCTGGTTATTTTGCTCGTTAATTGATGCAGTTTCTTCCTAGCATGGATGGTCTTTACAATTTGGCATGTTTTTGCAGTGGCTAGTACCGGTTGTTCCTTTCCATGTTTAGTGCTTCCTTCAGGAGCTCTTGTAGGGCAGGCCTGGTGGTGAAAAAATCTCTCAGCATTTGCTTGTCTGTAAAGGATTTTATTTCTCCTTCACTTATGAAGCTTAGTTTGGCTGGATATGAAATTCTGGGTTGAAAATTCTTTTCTTCAAGAATGTTGAATATTGGCCCCCACTCTCTTCTGGCTTATAGAGTTTCTGCCGAAAGATCCGCTGTTAGTCTGATGGGCTTCCCTTTGTGGGTAACCTGACCTTTCTCTCTGACTGCCTTTAACATTTTTTTCCTTCATTTCAACTTTGGTGAGTCTGACAGTTATGTGTCTTGGAATTGCTCTTCTCGAGGAATATCTTTGTGGTGTTCTCTGTATTTCCTGAATTTGAATGTTGGCCTGCCTTGCTAGGTTGGGGAAGTTCTCCTGAATAATATCCTGCAGAGTGTTTTCCAACTTGGTTCCATTCTCCCCATCACTTTCAGGTACACCAATAAGACGTAGATTTGGTCTTTTCACATAGTCCCGTATTTCTTGGAGGCTTTGTTCATTTCTTTTTACTCTTTATTCTCTAAACTTCTCTTCTTGCTTCATTTCATTCATTCGATCTTCAATCACTGATACCCTTTCTTCCAGTTGATCGAATTGGCTACTGAAGCTTGTGCGCTCGTCAGGTAGTTCTTGTGCCATGGTTTTCAGCTCCATTAGGTCATTTAAGGACTTCTCTAGACTGGTTATTCTAGTTAGCCATTCGTCTAATCTTTTTTCAAGGTTTTTAGCTTCTTTGTGATGGGTTCAAACTTCCTCCTTTAGCTCAGAGAAGTTTGATCGTCTGAAGCCTTCTTCTCTCAACTCGTCAAAGTCATTCTCCGTCCAGCTTTGTTCCATTGCTGGCGAGGTGCTTTGTTCCTTTGGAGGGGGAGAGGTGCTCTGATTTTTAGAATTTTCAGCTTTTCTGCTGTTTTTTCCCCATCTTTGGGGTTTTATCTACCTTTGGTTTTTGATGATGGTGACGTACAGATGGGGTTTTGGTGTGGATGTCCTTTCTGTTTGTTAGTTTTCCTTCTAACAGTCAGGACCCTCAGCTGCAGGTCTGTTGGAGTTTGCTGGAGGTCCACTCCAGATGCTGTTTGCCTGGGTATCAGCAGCGGAGGCTGCAGAATAGCAAATACTGCTGAACAGCCAATGTTGCTGCCTGACTTCGTCTCAGAGGGGTACGTGGCTGTGTGAGGTGTCAGTCTGCCCCTACTGGAGGGTGCCTCCCAGTTAGGCTACTCGGGGGTCAGGGACCCACTTGAGGAGGCAGTCTGTCCATTCTTAGATCTCAAATTCTGTGCTGGGAGAACCACTACTCTCTTCAAAGCTGTCAGACAGGGACATTTAAGTCTGCAGATGTTTCTGCTGCCTTTTGTTTGGCTATGCCCTGCCCCCAGAGGTGGAGTCTACAGAGGCAGGCAGGCCTCCTTGAGCTGTGCTGGGCTCCATCCAGTTCCAGCTTCCTGGCCACTTTGTTTACCTGCTCAAGCCTCAGCAATGGCGGGCGCCCCTCTCCCAGCCTTGCTGCCGCCTTGCAGTTTGATCTCAGACTGCTGTGCTAGCAATGAGCGAGTCTCCGTGGGTGTGGGACCCGCCGAGCCAGGCACCAGATATAATCTCCTGGTGTGCCATTTGCTAAGACTGTTGGAAAAGTGCAGTATTAGGGTGGGAGTGACCCAATTTTCCAGGTGCCGTCTGTCACACCTTTGCTTGTCTATGAAAGGGAATTCCCTGACCCCTTGCGCTTCCCGGGTGACGCGATGCCCTGCCCTGCTTCAGCTCATGTTTGGTGGGCTGCACCCACTGTCCTGCACCCACTGTCCGACAAGCCCCAATGAGATGAACCTGGTAACTCAGTTGGAAATGCAGAAATCACCCGTCTTCTGCGTCGTTCAAGCTGGGAGCTGTAGACTAGAGCTGTTCCTATTCAGCCATCTTAGAACTGCCTATGTCGCCATGTTCTTCATTTTCAAAGTCACCTCTTGAGATAGGCTGGACCTGGTTATGTTACTAGTGAGCCGCATAATCACAAGTCACTTCCTCTCTGTGGGTCACAACTTTGAATAGCTGTGAAATAAGAGGGTGGGGCTAGCAGCCCATACTAGATGATTCTGTGTCCTCTCCAGTACTGATTATTCCACAACACCCATCTTACGGTGCTAACTGGCTTTACAGGTGGCTAGAGGTTAGATGTATGCTTAATCCTGGAGCAGAAGGATACGCATATAAATGTCAATGTTTCCAACAGCAGTTTTTTTCTTTGTTTTTTTTTTGAGACGAAGTCTCACTCTTGTCTCCCAGGCTGGAGTGCAATGGGATAATCTCGGCTCACTGCAACCTCCGCCTCCTGGGTTGAAGGGATTCTCCTGCCTCAGCTTCCCAAGTAGCTGGGATTACAGGCGCCTGCCACCACGCCTGGCTAATTTTTTGTATTTTTAGTAGAGACAGGGTTTCACCATGTTGGCCAGGCTGGTCTCCAACTCCTGATCTCAGGTGATCCACCCACCTCGGCCTCCCAAAGTGCTGGGATTACAGGCGTGAGTCACTGCGCCCAGCCTCTACCAATAGCAGTTTGTGAAGTGGCTATCAATGACTCAGATGAAAGCAACTATTCCCTTACAGACATCACTGATGGTATCTATAGACCCAAACCTCAATCCCATGCATTTTCAGGGTAAGATGTGAATTTCAGTCTTTATAAGCAATTGCTTAAATAGGATTCTAGAAAGAAGTCAACAGACTTGAAAGAATTTATCTTTGGCCTCATTCCTTTAAACTCCTTCCTCTTCTAACCATGAAAAGGTTCCCACTACAAAGAGGTAGCTCAACTGATAACTGTCAGCAAAGCACATATATGTGCCAAACTACCAAGATTTCCTAGTCATTCCTTTCTTTTCAGACTGGAGTACAGTGGTGCATTTGTGGCTCACTGCAGCCTCAACCTCCCAGGGTTAAGTGATCCTCCCTTCTCTCAGCCTCCTGAGTAGCTGGGACTATAGGTGTGCACCTCCATGCCCAGCTAATTCTTGTATTTTTTGTAGAGATGGAGTTTTGCCATGTTGCCCAGGCTGATCTCAAACTCCTGGGCTCAAGCGATCTGCCCACTTCAGCCTCCCAAAGTGCTAGGATTACAGGCATGAGCCACTGTGCCCAACTGATTTCCTAGCCATTCTTGTGAAAGTCCGCCTACAACTCATAGAGAACAGGGAAAACAAAAATTCCTCCTGGCATCCACGTAAGTTCAGCCTGTTGCATGGTGGCAACCCCAAATGGGTCACTCTTCAGAAACAAAAGATTCATTGTGCTGCCCAGAAAGGAAAGTCAACCAGGTGGTTTCTGGCATCCTCCATGCCACGTGACTGCAGGGCTGTTCCAAGGCACCCTTTCCTAAAAGTGTTCTCAGCTTTTCGTAAGGGGGAGTCACAGACAGACAGCAAATTATGAACATTGTTCAGATATCTGTGGATAAAGTAGCCCTGAGACTTTTGTTACCTTGTGAGTGACAGTCCCAAAGAAAACACCCCCAACAGTTCCCAAATAAATATACCGCCCTCCCAAACCACAGTCTTCTAAACAGCAGGGTTAATTAGTCAAATGCTACAGTTCCAAACAGACACCATAAAGAATCTCAGCCTAGAATCTTGAGTGACCCCATGAGACACTTCTGAGATCACCAAGGACAACACTCATACTTGGCAACCGAGGACAACACTCATACTTGGAAAGCGAGGACAACACTCATACTTGGAAAGCGAGGACAACACTCATACTTGGAAAGCGAGGAAAACACTCATACTCGGAAACCGAGGACAACACTCATACTTGGAAAGCGAGGACAACACTCATACTTGGCAACTGAGGACAACACTCATACTTGGAAACCGAGGACAACACTCATACTTGGAAAGCGAGGACAACACTCATACTTGGAAAGCGAGGACAACACTCATACTTGGAAATCAAGGACAACACTCATACTTGGCAACTGAGGACAACACTCATACTTGGCAACTGGGGACAACACTCAT